>NC_000010.11:3343333-3494848 GCF_000001405.40 Homo sapiens
CCTGTCCTGTCATCTCAGCACGTTGGAAGGGCAATGTAGGAGGATTGCTTGAAGTCAGTTCAAGAGTAGCCTAGACAATATAGCAACACCTCATCTCTAAAAAAAAATAAAAATAAAAAATTAGCTAGGCATGGTGGTGCACACCTGTAATCCCAGCTACTAGGAGGCAGAGGCAGGAACATTTCTTAAGCCTGGGAATTTCAGGCGGCAGTAAGCTTGATCACACCACTGCACTACAGCATGGGTGATGGAGTGAGACTCTGTCCCTAAAAATATAAAAATGAACTGCTTTATTTAGCCTTTAACTTTTTATATAAAAAGTAATATTTTATTTTAATATTTTTAAGAAATAATAAGGTAGAATGTATTGTATTGACACAATGGCAATTTCCAGGCCTTAAATAATTTTGGTTAATAAATAATTTCTGGGCTGGGCAAGGTGGCTCACGCCTGTAATCCCAGCACTTTGGGAGGCCGAGGCAGGCGGTCACGAGGTCAGGAGATCGAGACCATCCTGGCTAACACGGTGAAACCCCGTCTCTACTAAAAGTATAAAAAATCAGCCGGGCGTGGTGGCGGGCGCCTGTAGTCCCAGCTACTCGGGAGGCTGAGGCAGGAGAATGGCGTGAACCTGGGAGGCGGAGCCTGCAGTGAGCCGAGATCGTGCCACTGCACTCCAGCCTGGGCGACAGAGCGAGACTCCGTCTCAAAAACAAAATAAAACAAAAAAGGAATTTCTGGGTCTTGCTGATCCTCAACACACCCTGGAAGAGCTTTCTGTTTTGTTTCGTGTTTTTCACTGACGGATCCTGCTCCTCACGCCCTGGATCCTCTGAAGAAGAATCTTGGGGCTGGAGCACACAATGGTCACAGAGGAGATGGAAACAGAAACCGAGGAGGAAAAAATAAAATGAAAGAGAAGGAAACTCGGTGAGGGAGTCCGCTGAAAATCGTCTCAGAAGCTATTGGTGTGGATCACAAGGCCATCAGCACATGTGGCTGTTACCCGGGTGTTAGCTGTGGACAGTATGGGAGGAGAGACCCTCTTCAATGCCAGTGCACTGACTCTGGGAGGCAGAGGACTCTGTCTGCAGGCAGGAAACTTTCATGCTGGCATTTTGACTCATGTTTTAGTAAATTGCAACTTTCTTCCATTTACGTTGGTGTTAAGGTAATGCCAGCAGTGGGGAGAGACCAGCATAAATTAGACAAAGCTAGGATTTCTCAGGATTTTAAAAAGAGCCAGATTGAAAGAAAATAGCTACTTTGGGCAACTTTTTCCACCAGATCCAATCTTCACATATAAGGAACACCATCATTTTACCATGTTACATTTTTAAAATTTTAACATTGGCTGTTTTGTTATTCCTGTTGGAACTCTTAAGATAATAAAGTGAAGCATAAATAAAGCTACAGATATGGACAGAGACCGTCTTCTTGACCAAACCCAAGGCAGTGTCTGCACTTTCTTCTGGACTGGACCCCGACCTTGGGCTCTGTCCTTGACCGGCTTAGTCCAGTTTTAGCAAGAATCCTGCTGGGTCAGTTTAGCAAAAATTCTCGACTCTTGATAGCTGATCAGATTTCTCATCACTCATCCTGGATATCTTACCACCCTGGGCTGCTTGCAGCATGAATCCTGCTGAGACGGTCTAGCAAGAATCCCCGTCCCCATGATGTACCATCCACTGACCCCACCCTGCTCCGTGGCTGTAAATGTCCACGTGTCCTTGTTTTACCTGTTGTTGATCCCCAGCTCTCTCTCCCTACTGCAAACCCCATTGGGAAGTCCTTTCTCAAAATGCCTTCCTTCCTGTCTTTAACAAGGGTCAGAATAATTTTTTCTTTGATATTACTCAAGTACCATTTCACACCCGGTCAAGAATCAAAAGAGTTCCTAATATATGACCTAGCAACTTTTAACTTTCTATAAGTTCTCTTTTCTTTTTAGAGCCTGAAAGATTAAACATTCATCGTGGTATTATGTGATGGGAGCTGCAGGGAAGTAGAAAGATGATGAGTTTCATTTGGGGCAAATTGAATTTGAGTTTCCAGCAGCATAGCATCCGGGAATATTCAGCAGGCGTTTGAAAATTGGCGTCTAATCCAAATGAGAGATTAGTGCTAGAGGTAAAGATTGGCAACCTGTCTTCCCAGGGACAAGAACTGAAGCTCCAGCCATGATCCAGCCTGCCTGTGGGGAGGGTGGTGTCCATGTCTCCAGAGACTACAGGACATCCCGGGGTGGGTGAAATCGCAGCCAGGGAGAATGCACACCCTGAGGAGTGTGAAGCTCACAGCAAGAGGGTGTTAGGAAGGACGGGGGGAACTGAGCTTGTGTTAGGTGTTTTGGGGGTGATTGAAGAAAGTGGGGACTCTGTGGACTGGGTGCTGTCAGGAAGCTGGGCTCATTCCCGGATGGGGGGGGTCTTCATCTGTCTTATCTCAAAGTCGAGCAGACTATAGCAAGACCAGGCTATAATTGGTAAAGAAATAGCGGTCGCTCCCTCTCATTAGCCAGGATAATGGGATGGTGGGTCATTTTCATGAGTCATACAATGTGCATATTTTGTTTGTGTTTAGAGATCATTACAGAAAGGTCTTGTCTTTTTCTTGATCTATCCTGGTCTCAGAGTGGTCTTGCCTGAGGTTGATGTTGTATGAAACTCTTTGTATCCATGGAGACAGCATCAGGGCTCACCTGATGGTCCAGCCTAGGTCCTGGAGGTCATGACTGCTTCTCTCTCTCTGGAAGAAGGAGAGAGCATCTTGAGCACTGCACCCTCCCTTACGACCCAGCTGTTCAGAGAATGGCAAAAAAAGTGAAAGTAGGAGGAAAACCAGAGAATGCAACATCGACTCTTCTCACTTTGCATTTAAAAAAATGCACGCGGCCAGGTGCAGTGGCTCACACCTGTAATTCCAGCACTTTGGGAGGCTGAGGTGGGCGGATCACTTGAGGTCAGGAGTTTGGACAAGTCTGGCCAACATGGTGAAACCCCATCTCTACCAAAAATACAAAAAAAATTAGCAAGGTGTGGTGGCAGGTGCTTGTAATTCCAGCTACCCGGGAGGCTGAGGCAGGAGAATCACTTGTAGCTGGGAGGCGGAGGTTGCAGTGAGCTGAGGTTGCACCATTGCACTCTAGCCTGGGCAAGAGTAAAACTCTGTCTCAAAAAAAAAAAAAAAAAGAAAATTGCATGCACCTGTGTGGAGACACCACAAATAAGACATCATAGCACAGTGGAGTTAGCTGGAATTTCCATCTAGTAAAACACATGACATCCCTGACTTGCAGCTCGTGCAGAAAACTCTGCTAAATTCATTTAATTTAATTCACTGGAGGAGGTTTGCAGTCGAGTGGGGTATCCCTAAGGAATTCTCCAGTTTGTTAGTGATTTGATCTGTTACCAAAATTCTCGGGTTTTTTTTTTAAAGAAGTTGCAAATTGTCATAAAACCATCATGTCTGTCTTTTGATGTCATTTCAATTTGTCTATAAGTGACAGATGACAGATGTCTCTTGATCCATTCTGACCCAATGGGTTCTTGTTAAAATTAGATTTTACCATTCTTGCCCCTTGCTTGGACTCACAAGGGACTCTGTGAATGCTGCTGGATAAATGTGCCTCCACGCTTTCTAGAACTCTCTCCAGGCTTGGGCTTCTTGGCCCAGATTTTTAAAGTTCCTGCAAGCACCATGGTTACTGCTCCTTTCTTCCGAGGCCGATTCCACACATTAGCATGGGGTGGGAAGCCGGCTCCCAAGCCCACAGTGCACACGGTTTCCTCTTTTGAATGCAGGCTGCTTTTCGTCTTGACCACATTCTCCCACTGTATGGCCCATTCTACCCCACGGCCCCATCTTGGCACCACAGGGATGCCAGTGTGAGTCTCGTGGCCCACTCATCGGGCGCAGTGCCCTGGGATGCTCCTTGTCACCATGCACAGTGGGACATGTGAGAAACCCCAACTCTGCATCCTCCTTCCCTCTCCTGGGAATCTCCAGGACCCACTGGGACAACACAGCGAGATGAAAGTTCGGAGAGAGCGACCTGGCACACAGCAACCCACCACCTTCTTGGCTGTGTCCCATTTGCCTTTCCAGGCCATTTTTTCCCCTGGGAAAAGCCCTGAGGAGGCATGTGTGATGTGTGGGTGTTTTCAGATCGGGACTTTAAACCTACGTCTTTGATGGCTCCATTAGTTATGCTCATGTTGATCCCTCATTTGAAGTGTGAAGGCCACCCTGCACTGTCAGCACGGGACTGCCACAATGCAGCTATTGTCGCCAGCATTCTCTAGACCAACAGGGCCTCGAGCTGCTGGTAGAATGCCAGCAACGACACTGGAAAGTACCTCCTCTCATCTGGGCACCTAAGAGACAGGAGGGATAAAGTTACAAGCAGATAGGAGCCATCCTCCATCGGTATGATGACTTATTTGCAGATGAGGAATCAAATCTGAGCAGCTTTGGTGCCCAGAACACTGCTGCCATTTAAACAAGGTGCTTTCATGCAGCTCTTGTTGCTCTGAGCCCTTGAGCGCTGTGCATTTTCCCTCCCCACTAACCCAGACGCAGCCAGTGTGGCATGTACGCCTGCTTTCTGCCCGGACTGAATCACCTTATTTGTCAACAGCTGACACTGTTCATACAGGATTTACACATATCACTGGAAATGTCTGCATGCTGCTTAAGTGCATGCCAATTGGTTAAGTGTGACATTGTGGCAATATGTTTTAGAACTTTTGTTTGAGCTCTTCTAGAGCAAATTGGCCCTTAAGTGAAAACATACGGACAGGAGAGATCCCAGGTGCTTCAAATTAGCAGAGATTTGGCTAATTCCATGGATTTTGGTATATTCGACATAAGCAAAGTTCATTAAATCTGGGGCCAACTTTGTACCTGATGTTAGCTGACTAATCCATCTTAAGAATTCCCCAAGCCCACAACAAAATATTCATTGATAATCTTCAGATGTGTCTGCAACCCTTCCCTTCCCCTAGGTGGTTCTGACTTTACTTAAAGTTGCATGATTATTTGTGGGCTGGTAAGTTTACCTGTCTCCATGGTTAGTATAGCGGTGAGTACCCCCCACCCCGTCTAAGTTTACCTGTCTTCAAATCTTTCCATTGGGAGGTTCAAATGTAAATTCAGCAATGGGGAAAAAAACTGTCCATTTTAGATATTGAGAACATACATCTATGTTCCTGTGAATGAATATTAACAAAGATACACGATCCCGACTAATGTAGCTGGGTGCTCATTTTATGACATAACATGTTCCTGGAAGTATATGAATGGAGGCCTGCTATGGATGTTCAACCTTATTAAGTGGGAACCTTGCAATTCACGGGCAACAGTGACAATCATCAGACAAACCAAGCTGTAAGACAAAAGCTAGCGGAGTCAGAGCCACAGCAGCACGTGCATCAGTGACTCAAAGCTCCCCCTGCATTTCACTCCATAACTGAGTTTACCTTTTCATCATATTATACTCACAGTGACATACTCCTTCTGTGGCACCGCTGCTTGAGAGTTCCAATTGATGCCTATTCTAAAGGAGATTGCTTGCTATTTAAAGTGGGGGAACCCAGCTTCATGTGGTATTGGAAGTCTACTCTTAATAGTTGAACCCAGTGAAATATAAAATCATACACATTAAGATTTCAGAACACAGAAAAATGCTTCTTAAATTAGAAATATATTCTATAAATGTAGTATTATACTCTTTGCTTTCCATTTTGCTGGTAGGTTCTGCTTTAGTAATACAAATTTTAAAATAGGATTTAGGTAAAGAATCTAAATAAATATAATTATGCACTGCCTGTAACAGTTTTTTTTTTTTTCTTAAGCAATGGAAGAGAATTGCTTTGTCAAGACAGTGCCAGGCAAGAAAATTGTCACAGAAAACCAAAGCAAAAAATAATCTAAGTGAAAAAAATATATAAATATATTCTTTATAGCTATGGTAAAAGAATCACACTGTTACTTTATGAAAATTCTTTAGAACAAGTTTCATGGAAATTTAATTTTCTAAATTATGGAAACAACTGTAGTACATTAACTGAACAATAATAGAATTTCATATCACCACCCACAAGGATTCTGGATTACTAGAATAAATTAGTGGGTTTTTTTAATCAGAAAGAAAATGTTATGATTATTTTAAAAATATCTATGTCATACTGTAAGGAACCGGCATTTTAAACCTTATGTCTTGTAACTTTATTTCTCTTAGGGCTGAAGCTCAGGATTTTCATTATAAGTCAACTGTCTGGAAGAAAAAAAGGAATGCGGTGCTCCTTGAATTCCATAACTCTTACCTGCTTTTATTATCTTCAATGATCTGAGAAAAAAAAACCCACAAAATCTTCCCTTCTGCCAACCTTCATTGGTCATAACTGTTTTTTGTTCCAAATCCACACTCTGGGCCATGCACGGTGGCTCACACCTGCAATCCCAGCACTTTGGGAGGCTGAGGCGGGCGGATCGCCTGAGCTCAGGAGTTTAAGACCAGCCTGGCCAACATGGCAAAACCCTGTCTTTACTAAAAATACAGAAAACTTAGCTGGGCACAGTGGTGTGAGCCTGTAGTCCCAGCTACTTGGGAGGCTGAGGCAGGAGAATTGTTTGAACCCGGAAGTGGAGGCTTCAGTGAGCCGAGATCATGCCACAGCTCTCCAGCCTGGATGACAGAGAGAGACTGTCTCAAAAAAAAAAAAAATCCACACTGATCCCTCCTCGTACTAGCATGCCCTGGTACTTCGGAATAACAAAGAAGGAGAAAGAAAAAAAGGAAGCATGTGGCTGGTAGTGACTTTAGAGATCATTGATTCGAACACTCTCAACAGGCTCCAAAAGAAATTGCAACTGTGAAGCAAGGGGGCTTTGCACAGGCGATGGGGAGAGAGGCGTTGCGGGGTGCGTGGTTTCGGAGAGCTGGAGCTGCCAAGCCCCTTGGACTGGAGCTGCATCTCCAGCGGATGAGCCCGGGCACTGAAGTTCATTTTCCCTTCTGCTCCCCACCTGCCTAATGCGTGGGATGGGACCCACTCCTACCAGGGGAGGACAGACAGGCTAAGGTGCCTCCTGGTGGCTGTGTGGCTCTCGAAGGAGGGGAAGAGGTGGGGATAAGAACGCTCTCTCTTAGTTCTGTGCTGGCTTGGGAAAGGGAGGATGAAGATAGAACCACTAAATGACTGAGGTTTCCTTCTCTTTGCCTGTTTGATCCCTCAAACCAGTCCCCACGCTGAACCCACATGCTGAGCTCAGGAGTGTGCAAGGGTCTGAGGGGCAGCAGGGATATGCCTTGCGAAGCCGTGTGCTTCCCTTTTGCCCTTTTCCTTGCAGCGCTCTGGAAGGAGGCTTAGAAACAAGAACTGAGATGCGACCATTGAATTCTCTGGCGCCAAGTCTTAACTCCCAGTGCGGAGAGTGAGATGACCAAGCCATGGCCTGAGTGTCCAGCTTGAGAGAGTCCACACCTCAGCCTAGGGTTTCTCTGAGTGTCCACCTTGAGAGAGTCAACACCTCAGCCTAGGGTTTCTCCTTGTTAAAATGCAGCATGTCCACCTCTTTCCAAGTCCTCAATCTAGTCCCGGTTCTTCCTACACAAATTCATTTTGGGCACCTTGCCAATGGGGGCCCCTCCTCCTGTCTTCCTGGTTTCCTCTTCCTCTCCTTGCAACCCGCGAGCTGCTGCTGGTGCATTTGATCAGCCGTTCCGCACCCTCTTCTCCTCCCCCCAACCCCGTGAAGTGAACACTCTTTTCAATCCTCCTCCCCATTCAGCCTGGGCAACTCATCATGTCTTCTTGACATCTTAGACAACTCCAGTCCAAACACTGTCTCTCATCTCTTCTACACGGTTTGTATTTATGTTATATACAGTTTAGTGCCGCATATGAAAAATCTGAAGGAATCAATGACTCTAAAGAAAGACACAAGACAGCAACTTCTTCTCTCTAGTTTCAGCTACTGCTCTGTGAACAGCAGTCAGATGTGGAAGTTGAAAACTTAATTACATTTTTTCCCTGTTTTCTGTGCACCTAAAATATTGTAGACCCTTAATAAATATGTCATTAGAGAAAAAAATGAATGAATGGATAAACAAATGAATGCAAGGCCCATGTTGAGGTACTCTAATTAATTAATTAAATTCAGCCTTTGTCTCAAGGAATTTGCAATATAAAAAAGAAGATAAAGT
Source organism: Homo sapiens (assembly GCF_000001405.40). Classification (NCBI taxonomy): domain Eukaryota; kingdom Metazoa; phylum Chordata; class Mammalia; order Primates; family Hominidae; genus Homo; species Homo sapiens. The sequence continues at coordinate 3,351,543 of NC_000010.11, forward strand.
CTTTGCAGTTTTCTCTTATATAAAACAGAATGGCCACCCTATCGTAAATAATCTGGGAGCTGACAGAAGAGAAAGACTAATTATGTCTGCCTCAGAAAAGCCTTCATAAAGAAGACATAATTTGAGTCACTTTTGAAAGACTAGAATTTAAAAGGTGGAAAGAATCTTGAGGAACATTCCAGAAACTTCTGAGAGGCTATAAATGCTGGACAGGAGCAAAGACATGGAGGGCTGTGAGCTCCTTAAAACCGGAGTCTGTGTCTTGCGTGTTTTCATCTCCTCTTCCTCATCTCAATGCCTGGCTGCAGCAGTAACTGTGAGGATTTGGTGCTATGTGCAGGGGTATGTTTTGAAAAGGTGGGATTTTGGAGAGGTAGGAAATAGTTTCAAAAAGCAGGCTGAAGGCAGAAGACCCCAAAGCTCACCTCAGGAACACAAGACATGATTCCGGGAGTGGGAAGGGCTGACTTTTTGGTTCTGGTCCTTGTTCTCCTACTCACCAGTTGTGTGACCCTGGAGAAGTTTGGCAACTGCAGCCTTAAGGTTTCTTACCTGTAAAAAATGTCATGGAAATGGGTGGATGAACCCGTCGTGCGCCTGCGAGGTTCTGCTGGTCACCATCTACTGCTGGCTGTCTCTTTGAGGTTCAAAACAACCAAGGAGGGGGTGGTAGGGTGGGTTGTTGCTCTCTCCCCCTGCTTCATGCTCATCCAGCTGTGTGCAGAGGAGCTCCTCCCCGGGCTGTTGGAGGCACAGGGCCTAGGCCATGATACTGCCAGGAACCCCTGGAAATCGTTCAACTCTCATTTCTTTTTGTTTGTTTTTGTTTTTGAGATGGAGTCTTGCTCTTTTGCCCAGGCTGGAGTGCAGTGGCATGACCTCGGCTCACTGCAACCTCCACCTCCCAGGTTCAAGCAATTCTCCTGCCTCAGCCTCCCTGGTAGCTGGGACTACAGATGCCCGCCACCATGCCCCACTAATTTTTGTATTTTTAGTAGAGACGGTGTTTCATTATGTTGGCCAGGCTGGTCTCAAACACTTGACCTTGTGATCTGCCCACCTTGGTCTCATTTCTTTGAAAATAAAAAGAGAAAAATGGTTATAGTAATAATGAATTCAGCTTGGATCATATTCATGTTTATATCAACTCATTTAAAAATGAGTATTTTTAGTATTTATATAGAGGAACCACCCCTCTCTGCCCCAAAGAAAACGTGCCTGGAGCCATGGACGTCATGTCGCTGTGCTGATTGCTTGAGCTTCTCTTGTGAACCATGTGCTGGTGGCACAGAGCTGAAAAACACTGATAAGGGGCCTGCCCTCAGGGAGCTTCTATCTGAAGGTGTGCAGCTAGGTCGTGCGATTGACTGAGTAGACTCGCAAAACATCGCATACATGCACAGTTTTTGTAATGAATAGGGTATACTTCTAGAACACCAGCAAATCAGGTTTGCCCCTAAAAAGCAAAAGTAGGTTGACATACAGGTAACCCTGTTGAATCATCAATCCAGCTGGAAAGGTAAAGCTCCAGGCAGCGTCGGAAAAGTCACTGAAGCTGTGTGCGTGTGGGTAGGTGAGCCAGCAGCATCAGACTTACAGAGTTTGTTCTTGGGGCAGCTTCATGGTTAAAATGCATTTTGGAAAAGAGATGTTCAGAGGTTCTAGGGAAGTGGTAGGAACCCAGTGCTACTAACTAGGCATGTAATCTGACATGTCAAGAGCCATTTTTTATGGAGTGACTCCCCTTCAGAGGGCACAAGAAGAAAGTGTTGCTTTTTTCATGAAAGTGTCAGTGCTTGCAACTTATGAAAGACACTGCTAAAAGCAGAGGCTCTATTTTTATTCTCCACAGCCTGGCCACTGTGGTGCCGGGGCTTTGCTGCCAAAGAGGAAACATGCACAAGTCTGGTCAGTAAATATCACCAGCTAGACAGTCCCAGCTGTTGTTCCAGGATGTGTTTTCTCATTGCTATCTGACAGGTTATCCTTCCCTGGAACCGGGCTCCAGAGGGTTTTCTAGTGTGGTCAGTCAGTCATAACATAAAGTTTACCATTTCAGCCATTGTTAGGTGTGCATTTCAGGGGCATTAAGTACATTCACATTGCTGTGCAACAAAAACCTCACCATCCGTCTCTGGAACGTGTACATCTTTCCCTAATTGAAACTCCATCCCCATCAAACAGTGACTCCCCATTATCCCTTCCTCAACCCCTGGCCACCCCCCTTCCACTTTCTGTCTCCATGAAATGTGATGACTTGAGGGACATCCTAGGAGTGGAATCATACCGTATTTGTCCTTTTGTGCCTGGCTTGTTTCGCTTAGCATGCTATCTGCAAGCTTCATCCACGTTCTGGCATGTGTCTGAGCTTCCTTTTCAAGCTGAATAATATTCCACTGTAAATGGATGCATGATGTGTTGCTTATTCGTCTGTTGATGGACACTGAGGAGGTTCCCACATTTTGACTATTGCGAATACTGTTGCCATAAGCATACGTGTGCAGATGTCTGAGTTCCTGCTTTCAATTTTTTGGGGCATATACCCAGAAGTGGAATTGCTGGATCGTAAGCTAATTCCGTGTTTACTTTGTTGAGAAACTGCTATGCTATTTTTACACAGTGGCTGTAGCATTTCACATTCCCACTAGCAGTGCACAAGAATTCCAATTTCCCTACATCCTATAAAACTTTACCTTCTGCTTTTTGTCTTTATAGCAGCCATCCTAGTGGCTGTGAAATGGTATCTCATTGTGGTTTTGATTTGCATTTTCCTAATGACTAGTGGGGCTGAGCATGTTTTCATGCATTAGGGCTTTTAACTCTGTGTCTGCTTTGGTTTGGATGGCTGTTGCTGCAGCAGGAAGTGTGGTCATAAATAGGAATATTCATGCCAGGAAGCTGAGGGAAACTTGAGGGATCACCTAGACCAGCTGATATGGTTTGGCTGTGTCCCCACCCAAATCTCATCCTGAATTGTAACTCCTATAATTCCCATGCATTGTGGGAGGGACCTGGTGGTAGGTAACTGAATCATAGCGGGGGTTACCTCCATGCTGTTCTCTTGGTAGTGAGTGAGTTCTCACAAGATCTGATGGTTTTATAAGGGGCTTTCCCCCTTCGCTCTGCACTTCTCCTTGCTGCCGCCATGTGAAGAAGGAGGTATTTGCTTCCCCTTCTGCCATGATTGCAAGTTTCCTGAGATCTCCCCAGCCCTGCAGAACAGTGAGTCAGTTAAACCTCTTTCCTTTATAAATTACCCAGTCTTGGGTATTTCTTCATAGCAGCATGAGAACAGACTAATACACCAGCCCTTTTCAGCCTTGTGAGATTTTTGTAGAAGCAGCAAAGTGGTGGGCTGGCTGCTGGGCATGGGGCAAGGGGAGTCTGGCTGTACCTTCCTCTGGCTCCCTCTGCCTCCAGGGTGGGCTCCAGGTCTCCTTCAAGGAATGTGGCTGGAAACTGCCGGACAAGGCCAAGCCCTGATTTTACAGATGGGCATGATATGTGTCTAAGGTCCTATGGCCTGTGAGTGACAGAGCAAGGACTACAGCTCAGGTCTTTAGAGCTTTTTTATTTTCCATGCCAGCCACCCCCTGCCTTCAGAGATGGAGTCAGGCAGGGAGTGCTAAGAGTCAGAGTGGAAAGGAGGACTCCTGCGCTGAGAACACAGAGGGTTCACCACCGGGGATGCTGCCACCGTCTCAGGAGTAATTTGTATCAATTCGATAAATGTTTATCTGGAAACACCCAAGAGTCAGGTATGTCAGAGTATATACATATTAATAAACAAAGATCTCATCTCACAGATATTCACAGTCACAGAAATAAAACCATAGATGCTTGCAAATGCTTGGGAGTAGGAAGAGGGCAGAGCTGCTGTCTCAGGATTGGAGAGTGGGCTCAGGGGAACCCTGGTGCGTGTGGCATTGGGAGTGACAGGGATTGTCTGGGAGAAAAACAGCAAACCATTCAAAATAATTTAAGCTTACTTTTGACAGAAGGAAGAGGATCATTCAGTGACAGCAAGGTCAGAATGAGAATAGAAATTTGAGGGACATGAGTGAAGAGGTGTTTACCGGGACCCAGGTGTGGGCATAGCTGAAGGCCCAGGTGGGGTAGGGGGGACCCGGGTGTGGGTATAGCTGAAGGCCCGGGGTCGGGGGGAGCTGGGAGGGGTATAGCTGAAATCCCGGAGTGGGGGGACCTGGGTGTGGGTATTGCTGAAGGCCCGGGGTGTGGGGACCTGGGCGTCAGTATAGCTGAAGGCCCGGCTGGGGGCAGAGGGTGACGATGCTATGTGGAGAAGAGGCCCTGTCTTTCTGTGGGAACCAATGTTCAGGAGAAGTTCTCTAGTAGTTTGCCAAGGACACAAAAGGTATAGAATTCTGTAATATGTGCTTATAATAGAAGAGAGCTATAATGCTGAAGAACAAATGGTGTTTTATTTGCTGTATTTAAAGAATGGCCTTCCTGAAATGAGCTGTGCTAATGCAGACACCAGAAAGGGAAGGAATAATATGCTCACATGTTTACTAGGGGCAGGGATAAACAGATTTTACAGAATCTTACAGGGGAAGCCTAGAAGATGAAGTTTCTTTATAAGAAAACTAAAATTGTGGCCAAGTACATCACCTACTAGACCCAGGAGCAGATTACACCTATACCTGGCTGAGCCCGGCGACATACCTGACTGAAGCTCTGAGTTCTGAAAACCCAAGTATTAGGACAATCTCATATTTAAATACAAGCATAGTTGCTCAACAAAGTTGCCTTAATAACCTAGAGAGTGGCCCCTTCTCCCTTCCTCTTCTTTCTCCCTCCCTCCCTCTCCTTCCTTCCCTCCTTCCTTCTCTTCCCTTCCCTCCCTTTCCTTCTCTTCCCTTTCTTCCCCTCCCTTCCCCTCCCCTCCCCCTCCCTCCCCCTCCCTCTCTTCCTTCCTCCCTCCCTCCCTTCCTTCCTCGTTCTCTAGCCCCATTCAGGGTGGGAACCTTTAGTAGGATGGAATTCTAAAGAACCTGAAGTCTTCAGAGGTGTACAAGACTGGTGTTATGCAATATTTAGTGTTACTTGTCCAATATGGAGCCAGGATGCTGGGGGAAGATCTGAGATCCAGGGAATAACTTTGAGTGATTGAGATGGGAGAGAAGAGGGACTCCTGTAGGTCCACATGAGGTTAGTTCTGAATGGGCTAACAAGTAAAATAAGAAACAACTTTGTACAATGCTTTGGATGCTATTGTGTGCTCATGGTGATCCAATACTAAGATTTTTCTATTGGTAATAGCCTACATTTATGTACCTTCCGAGGTGGTAAGGGTGTCCCTAAAGAGTTGCTTGTGGAAGTTCTAAATAAGTTTTAAGGTACAATGAAGTGTCTGGGGCATTTCCGGCCAAAAAGCACAAGAGAAGGGTTAACAGTCTAGGCAGTGGCAACATGTTCTTATGCTCAGGCATGATGGTTGTGGGTTAGTGTAATGGCTGCCTTGGAAGAAAATTTAAAAATCCTTTAATCCTACCCACTTCTCTGAGACATGGAAAAACTCCAGTATTTCAACAGATGAAAAGAGCTAAATTCCTTGCTCAGGATCAAACAGCTGCCTATGGGCAGGGCTCTGGTGAGAACTGAGGCCTTCTAAGTTTTAGACCAATGCCTTTCCAATATGCAATCACTCAGTGGCTATTGGTGAAGGCCACTCACTCCCTTCTCTCCTGCAATCCAGGTACTTCCTGTGGTATAGCCTCATTTCCTGTGGTATAGCCTCATCCTCAGGCATGTTTGAAGCAGGTACGGCTCGTTCTACTCTGGAGGACGTGAAGAAATTAATTAAGCACCAGCAGCACCCAGACATCATTTTAAAGAAAATCACCATTTAGATTTTGGGGCTCTCTGGGTGGCCATGAATATGTCTCACCACAGATTATATCGGGTGGTAATTTTCTTCTTGCATGCACAATGATTCCTCCTAGATTCACTTTACAATCTGGTGAATATTAAATTGTTATTACAGCATGGCTTCTTCCACTTCATTTTATTTTACTACCAAGGTTATGGGCTCAATGTTGTAGTTAAGTTTATTTCAGTTACAATCGAAATCTATTTTGGTCACTTGTTAGCTTTCTCTATCTTGTTTGTAAATTGGCTTCCTTTTCTGGTGCAAAGGTAGAAGAGACCAAGGTACAGCCAGTAGGGTTGAGTTCATGTTTCAATAGTAGGTAGCTTTCTGCTATCTGAATAGTGACCTGATTCTCAGACCCATCTTATTAGTTCACTCTTGCATTGTTAATAAAAAACTGCCAGAGACTGGGTAATTTAAAAGCAAGAAGGTTTAACTGGCTCATGGTTCTGCAGGCTGTGCAGCAAGCAGGGCTGGGGAGGCCTCAGGAAACTTAAGGTCATGATGGAAGGCAAAGGGGAAGCCGGCGTGTCCCGCATGGCTAGAGCAGGAGGAAGAGAGCAAAGGGGGAAGTACTACACACTCTTCAACAACCAGATCTTGTGAGAACTCATTATCACGAGAACAGCAAGGGAGAAATCTGCCCCCATGATCCAATCACCTTCCACCAGGTCCCTCCTCCAACACTGAGGATTACAATTTGACATGAGATTTGGGTGGGGACACAGAAACCATAGCACCCAGTTCAAGGTGAAATAGTTAAATTCATAGGTTATGTTCCCTTGTTATTTTTTTCTGTATCCCTAACAGTTGCTGCATCCATGCAACTGTATTAGTCACATTTCTAGCTCTGCAAAGTTAACACTTTGACATCTGCTGTACATGGATATGCTGGATGCATAATCTTCTGGACCACCCTGTCATGTGCCTGAATCACCTTGCAGTGGTTCCGGCCTTCTCCTCCCTACCTCCCCTTCTTGCAGGAAGTTCTGCAAGGCATGCTTTCCACTAGGACAAATCCGGGGCCACACCTCAATCACCTTTTTATCATGCTCTCACACTCAAGATCTCTATCCTATTCATCTGCCCTAATCACCCCACAACCATATCCCAGACAACTGAGGCCAGTTCCTATGCCACAAAGCCCCCAGAAATCATTCAATCTAGCCAGACCTAAGCCTGCTAAGCCTGCCTTGCTATGGAAGCCATAATAAAGGCTCTTGCCAGCTTTCCCCTCCCTCTGCCTCTGGCCTTGGGCTTCCCTGCATGGCCCTGGGGAAGTGCTGTGTCCACCACTTCCACTTGGGGTCTGTGAGTAATAAACTACTTTCCCATGGTAGTTGACTCCCAGGTGGCTGGCCTCACCACAGTTCAAGTTTTCTATTAATACCCTAAGTTGTAAAATAGCTATGTCTCTTTATTCCAACAGACATTCTAAATGTACTATCTTTTTGGAAATGTCACATTCTTGAGTTATCTTTTTACACAGTTTTACCTTTGTTCACTCGTAGCAGATCCAATTATTGGGTTTTGTAGAAATTTCTTAATGTAGACATCAAATACCATTCATTCTATTGTCTGAATCTTGTGCTAATCATATCACTGCAATTAGAATTTTTGTTATTTATTTATTTATTTATTTATTTATATTTACTGGCCATAAGCTTTAGGGCCACACTTTCTTTCTAACCAGTCTATAAAACTGGGGCTTACTTTGGGTCTCCTACTTCCTTGTCAATGATTGCAATATTTACTGATTAAAAAAATAATAAATCTGCCTAAATAAAACCTCCTCAGTGCTGGGCCAAATACTTTATTCTCCTTGTAATGTTGATCTTTTCATATTTTATTTTATTTTGTTTTGAGAGGCAGGGTCTCACCCTGTCACCCAGGCTGGAGTGCAGTGGTGTAATCATTACTCACTGCAGCCTGGAACTCCTGGGCTCAAGCCATCCTCCTGCCTCAGTCTCCTGAGTAGCTGGGACTACAGGTATGTGCCATGACACTCAGCTATTTTTAATTTTTTGTTTTTTTTGTAGAGATGGTTTTTTCCATGTTGCCCAGACTGGTCTGAAACTCCTGGGGTCAAGCAGTTGTCTTGCCTTGGCCTCCCAAAATGCTGGGATTATAGGCATGAGCCATCACGCCTGGTCAATCTCTTTATTTTGTGAATGTCTTGACTTCATATTTATGGCTTGTTATGAGCATCTCTGGGCCACGTCAATAAATAAGCCCATCAGTCAATGGATCCTGTGCTCTTTTCTGTTCTAGGTTCTTTGGGGAATGCAGGAGAATGACCAAAGTTTCATGGATCTTGTATCCAGGTTAGAAAGACAAAGCTAAAACACATGAAATAACAGAAATAATAGCAAAATATGATGAAGTACTAAATTATGTGTAATTTTTATCTAAATGCTGCCTGATTTTAGGGATGAAGGTAATCAGGGAAGCCTTTAGTTGGAATAATTATTGGGACCTCAAAAACTATTTAGATGGTGACAGATTGCTGGAGATAGACTGATCAGGGTACATTTTTCTTATCAAATAATTACCAGACCAATAACAAAAGAGGATGGAAAAGGAAAGAGAAGAGATGAGCAGGAATAGAGATGGGATTGGCGATAGTCTATTAGTCCAGGGCTTTGATTATCTAATTAAAAAATCCCCAGTCATCCTTTAAACAACAGGGCACACTACAGGCTGCCAATGGTGTGAGTTACTTGAGGAAAACCCTCACCTGCTAAGGGGTTTAATCCTAGAATAGCAACCCCGATGTACTGCAGTGTAGACTTGCTAAGGGGTTTAATCCTAGAGCAGCAGCCCCGATGTACTGCAGTGTAGACTTGCTAAGGGGTTTAATCCTAGAGCAGTAGCACTGATGTGCTGTAGTGTAGCCGACTGGACTCGAAGGCTGGTGGATGGGTCGTGAAGACTGCTTTGGTGAGGTCCCTGGCCCAGAAAGTTGTGCTAGGAGAGCTTGTTTCCAAAAGCTTTTCCAAATTCAGGCTTCAGCTAGAGTCCTACTCCTAAAGGCCTGATTCTTGTATGGACTTCTCTGGGTTCCCACTGTTTTAATATTTTCCACTTTTTACCTACGGATCTATTCAGAAAGAGCTTAGACTCCATATCTTTTCTTACCTCAGAAACAGTTCCTTTTTGGGGTGAGGAGTTTAATATGAAAATGTCTGCCAAGCTTGTGGTCCCTCTTTCTACTTGTGGTTTGATGACTATGAATTATTTCAAAGGTTGCTGCTTAAATTAGCTTCTTTCCTTTACCTTTACAAAATGCTTTCAGAAAATTTTATACTGAAATGCGACTAGAGATTTTAAAATGAGTGAGCCTTGATTTTGCTGGCCACACAGAAATACATGTGTCTTTTTCACAGGTTTATTTTAGGGGTTGATATGGTTTGGCTGTGTCCCCACACAAATCTCATCTTGAATTGTAGCTCTCATAATCCCCACATGTTTTGCGAGGGACTTGGTGGGAGGTAACTGAATCATGGGGGTGGGTCTTTCTCATGCTGTTCTCATGATAGTGAATAAGTGTCAAAAGATCTGATGGTTTTATAAAGGGCAGTTCCCCTGCACAAGCTCTCTCTTGCCTGCCACCATGTAAGACATGACTTTGCTCCTCATTCACCTTCTGCCATGATTGTGAGGCCTCCCCAGCCATGTCAAACTGTGTGTCCATTAAATCTCCTTGTCTTTATGAATTACACAGTTTTTGGTAAGTCTTTATTAGCAGTGTGAGAACAGACTCATACAGTAAATTGGTACCAGGTAGTGGGGTACTGCTGTAAAGATGCCTGAAAATGTGGAAGCAACTTTGAAACTGGGTAACAAGCTGAGGTTGAAACAGTTTGGAGGGCTCAGAAGATGACAGGAAAATATGAGAAAGTTTGGAACTTCCTAGAGACTTGGAGAACTCAGAAGACAGAAAGATGTAAGAAAGTTTGAAACTTCCTAGAGACTTGTTGAATAGCTTTGACCAAAATTCCAGTGATATGGACAATGAAGTCCAGGCTGAAGTGGTCACAGATGGAGATGAGGAGCTTGTTGGGAGCTGGAGTAAAGGTCACTGTTGCTATGCAAAGAGACTGGCAGCATTTTGCCCTTGCCCTAGAGATCTATAGAACTTTGAACTTGAGAGAGATGATTTAGGGTATCTGGTGGAAGACATTTCTAAGCAGCAAAGTGTTCAAAAGAAAGCAGAGCATAAAAGTTTGGAAAATTTTCAGCCTGACAATGGGATAGGAAAGAAAAACCCATTTTCTTGGGAGAAATTCAAGTCTGCTGCAGAAATTTGCATACATAACAAAGAGCCAAATGTTATTCACCAAGACAGTGGGGAAAATGTCTCCAGTGCATGTCAGAGACCTTTGTGTCAGCGCCCTGCCATCACAGGCCCAGAGGCCTAGGAGGAAAAAATGGTTTCCTGGGCCAGGCCCAGGGGCTCCTTTCTGTATGCAGCCAAGGGACTTGGTGCCCTGTCTTCCAACCACTCCAGCTGTGGCTAATAGGAGCCACGGTACAATCTGAGCTGCCTTTGCTCCTCCTTCACCTTCTGCTGTGATTGTGAGGCCTTGCCGGCCATGTGGAACTGTGAGTGCATTAAACCTATTTTTTTAATATAAATTACCCAGTCTTGGGTATGTCTTTATTAGCAGTGTGAGAATGAACTAATACAGGGGTGTACCCTGAATTTAGCGTTGAACACCTCTGCATTGCAAGGCAAATCAAAAACATATTTGCAACAAAGAACACTGTGTATGGGGCTGATGTTGATGAATGCCTTGTTCCAGTAGATTGATATGCCATTGCTCTACAAAATTCAAGTCAGTGAAAGAGTTAGTTAACTCCAATGGTATCCCTTTTCCCTAATACATACCTTATTAGAACAAGCCTTTCTAGAGGCATACAGAGGAAATATTCCAATCAGAGCATAGGAAATAGGCATTTAACTCTCATTAAAGGAGAGTGTTGCTCTGAATCTGTCAGTGGAGAGATTTATTCCATGAGGAACAAAGTATTTTATCCACTAAGTACACTCAAGGCCCTCAACTGACAGCTTTCCTCCCTTTATTTTTTAACTGTGTTTGTTTGGAGAGGCTGATGTACACTCTCACAAGATTGAAGAGCCCACACACTCTTCCTCTGTGACAGTGGGGACCCTCTGACTAATTCCTCACCTCTGTTCCTGTGAAATCTGAGTCAGGACTGACAGCTACCATGGAAACCTGTGGGTATTGAACACTTAATGTCCTAGTTCATAAAGTGAAGGTAATTTGAATTCAATGTCTTTGTCTTCTCCAACTCTCATACCTTTCTCTCCAGTAGATGATAAACCTTCCTTTTTCTCCCCCTCCCAGAGCCACTGGTGAGGTTATCGGTGCTGTTTGGGTTTACCTGACCACCACCATCTGTCCCTGCAGCAGAGGAGATCTTGGAGCCTGCCCTACCATAAGCCAATGCTAGTTAAACATTATGAACTTTGAAGATATGATATCTCTATTAATAATCTAAACTAATTTTTAGTCAAGGAATAGAAAAACATGGAGAAGAAAACTAATGCTTTGCAATGAACACTATGAGGAGGACAAGAAAAAAGAATAAAAAGATCAACAAAGTAAATGAGAACAAAAGGGATCTAATCCCAAATTAAAAACCCCCTGTGTACCCCATGCTGACAGCCTCTCTCTCAAACTGCCAGGATAACCAGGACGCCCTAACCCTGAAGCCAACGTGGATTTGCTTGACATGGTTTTTGTTTTTGTTTACTGTCTTCCCCATGTGTCATGCCCGCTTAGTGGCTGGGCACATGAGGCCTCACCCCACTGGACTCTGGAGAGGGTTTGTAGGACACAGAGAGGCTTCCCTTTCCCCCAGGGACACAGCGTCACAGCAGACAGGCCATGGCTCCAACTTAACCTCCCATTCCTCCCAAGCTCTGACAGTGAACTATGTTGAGCTCAACAGCCACATTTACCAAGGGTAAGATTCTCAGGCCTCTCCTGGACCAGCTGTCCCAGAATCTGCATTGCAACAAGGCCCTGGTCATGGATACACTCATCAGAGTTTGAGAAACACTCTCAGATTCAGCGGTACTGAAAACTTTGTGGTCTCGGGATCTCTCTACGCTCTGAAAAAATGTGGCTTTCCAGAGCTATTGCTATGTGCTTACATTTATCTCTATTTGCCAAATTTAAATTTTAAACTGTGAACATTTTAAGATATTTGTTTATTACTTTATTTACAAATAAGAACAATGACCCAACTACATGTTAATATAAATATTTTTATGAAAAGTCATTATAATCTCCAACAAAATTAGAGATAAGAATGGCATTATTTTACATTTTTGCAAATTGTTCATGTCTGGCTTAATGCAAGACAGCTGGGTCTTCTCTGCTTTCACATTCAATACACTGCACTAGTGTACATCACATAACCTCTGGAATACTCCACTGTACATTCAAGAGAGAATGAGAGTGAAGGCAGGAAAGTCTTGGAATAATACTATGAAGAGTCATGTGTTGTGACTATAATAGTATTTTGTAACAATAATCCTAAACAATGATTTGTTTAGCATTAAACAAGTAGTTTTGACCTAGCAGTCCTCCTGAACAAGGGCTCACTCCGCAGAACCTTTGCTCCTATCCAAGCCCCACCTTCATTAGCTGGGTGGTCTTTTTAAGCAAGTGATGGCATCTCTGCTTTTCCTTACTTGAGGCGGTAGACAAAACCCCAGATTCCACTTGTCCTGAGATTCACCTCTGTTCTAGGTACTTTTTTTTTTGAGATGGTGTTTACGCTCCTGTTGCTCAGGCTGGAGTGCAATGGCACAATCACGGCTTACTGCAACCTCCGCTTCCCGGGTTTAAGCGATTCTCCTGTCTCAGCCTCCTGAGTAGCTAGGATTACAGGCGCATGCCACCACGCCCGGCTAATTTTTGTATTTTTAGTAGAGGCGGGGTTTCATCATATTGGTCAGGCTGGTCTCAAACCCCTGACCTCAGGTGATCCGCCCACCTTGGCCTCCCAAAGTGCTGGGATTACAGGTGTGAACCACCGTGCCCAGTCTATGTGCTAGGTACTTTTATGAATCTATACTTTACTGTGGGAGAAGAAAGGAAAAACAGAGACCCAGCAAATAACATGCCCTTGTCCAACAAACAGAACGCCGGAATTCAAGTGGAGATCTTTGGAACTCCAGTCCTCCCTCCAGAGGTGAAAGTGTTATTTGTGAATTGTAAGTTGATCAAGTGCTGTAAACTAACTAAAGTTACAAACTAACTGAAGTGCTAGAAACTAAAATAAATACAATAATGAAGAACAAGCATCATTATTCATAGTGTCTTTAATATTTCCATAGGCTACTTGGTTTGAAAAAGCAGCCTCCTCTGTGAGCCACTGAGCAGGAGGAAAAGCCAGCCCTGGAAGGACTCTGCAGAGAACAGATCACAGTGTTTAATTTGCCAGAGGCATGCGAGCTTCTCAGAGTCCTACAGCCACAGGAGCTTTGCCTTCCCTTAAATGAGCCGTGGGGCTGCAACCTGGGTGTCGGAAAGGGCAAAGTGCAGTCGAACATTCACATTTGTCCTGGAAGGACAGTTGATGTTTTGATGTTAGGAACACTGGGGGAAGTGGGGTGTTGTTGGTTTGAAGTAAGATTATTCTGTGTGTTATAACAACGGCAACCCTGGAATTGACAGGGAGACCCAGTGCAGGAGAGAAGGCAACCAGGCAGGGTCTTTGCTGTTCAGGGAGGTTCTGAGCTGGAAGGACAACGGAATTAGGTGTAGCGGGAGAGCACGAGCTCGGCCCCCGCCTCCTTTCTGTCTTGGCCTTTCTGCCTTGGTCTCAGCGGTACCCATTAGTTCCTTTGCCAGTGCCCCTTTTGACTGAAGAGCCTGCCGCCTCTTTCACTTTCAGTAAGTCTCCTTTGCCTAAATGTGCTGATTAACTCACCCTGTCTTTTGGTATATTGGGCAGGTCTACCCAAAGGAAGGATTGAGATAAAGTTCTGGATATGTCAAGGTAAATGGGAAGTTCAGTGATCTTTTGTAAATTGTCAGGCCCTGTGCTGTGTTGTATGTTATAAAAACAAACAAACAAACTCAGAAGATTTCACTTCTGCGCCCACAGTATAATGTAATAATTAATATATGTTCCGGGCAACTAAAAATCAGGTTGATAGCTGCCGATAAATATGCAAACACGCGAGGTCAGCTGTGATTTTTGTCAGTTCCTTTTTGTGGTATTTTAACAACAATTTACCTTTTATCTGCACATATTGTCTATACCACAAGGTCCCCTGAAAAGTGGGGCAGGTGTTTGAGTCATAAAAGATAAATATATCCTGAAATGGCTATTGTTTCGAGTCTGTGAATCATTTCAAAGGACATTTGCCGTGCAAATAGATGATGTAACTCTATGTGTTTTCAATAGCACATCTGCAAGTTAAGTCGTGTGATTCCCTGGATGATATTAAGTCTGCAAATAGACTGCCACTCACAAACAATATTGTAAGTGAGATCGGTAGAGTCCCTGTTCTAGAACAAGGACATTGACCTGTGTTTTCAGCTAAAGCAATGTTCACTCCCTTAAGGGAACATACCTGATTTTATTTTGTTAAAACTTTTATTACTGCAAACTTCCTGCATGTAAAATGTACTAGTGAAAATTCTTTTGGTATACTAGCAGCCTGCATTGCCCAAAACCGATAAAAAATAGATTAAAAATTAAACATTTATGACCCAAGGAACTGCTGAATAGACTATGTTGGGAAGAACATCTGTAACCATAAAACTCAGACTCTTGAAATTTGAATTTGCCTGTTGTGCTTATTTAATTACTGTGCAGAGTTACTTGTTGGGTCCAGGTAGGGCAATGACTGGGCTGTAAAAAATATTATTCCCTCAAGGATTGTCTTGTGCAAATTCTAGAGGGGAAAATTATCTTTCCAATACCCAAGTGTGACTTCCATTACCATTAAATGGAGCCATGCGTACTGTGTGAGGGTATAATGGACCCCAGAGTAGAGAGATAAAACTGTAATGCCAACTCCCTATAGCACATCAGCAATATTATTTAACTTGAAGCTTTTTAACCTGTGAGAAAAGAGTAAACCTTGTTCTTAATTAAATGAATAAGGCAGCTTGTAGATACGTTCATTAACGCACATAGATTCACAGCTTGACGGTAAGCTTGGTCCCCTCTTTCCTGTCCTCATCCCATCCACCCGGATCACAAGCATCTCCAGTTAGAAACCCTGCCGGGTCATTTTTGTGTCCTCAACAGAGTCTAGCGTAGCAGGAAGCAGATTGTAAGATTTAGCAAGATACATGCTTATGAAAATGAGCAGTGGGAAAATAATTACTTGGTTTTTGTTTAATTCTATTTGTAGATTGGCTATTTCATTTCTGAGTAGCAAATTTAACATATTTAAGGTTAGAATCTACCAAGTTTGCTAACGTTCTTAATTAGAAAAAATGCAAGTCATCCATATATGAGTTTCCGAATAGTGGCGTTGAGTGGGTCTCTGGTCTCAGGAGGAAAAAGAAACGAAGATGATCTTACCAAAGAATAGAAACAGTGAGTCAGGAAGGCAGGTTTTAGTTCTAGTTCTCACACCAAATATTTATGTTATCTCAAATTCTCTTGATCATAATTTATTATTATAATAAATTATGTATTACAGATAATTATAAATGTACATTATTTATTTAATAAATAAATAATAATTTATTATTAGTTCTATTGGAGGAGACAATAAAACCCAATAATAATATTTATTGTATATTATGCATATATTATATATTTATATTATTTATTATATATTTATTATTATTGGGTTCTACTGTTATCGCCTCTCTCATTCCCTAGTACCCAATAATAATAATAATTATTATTGAGAGGAACATACTTATCTCAGGAGGTATCCTGAAGATGAAATAATAGGAGTGAAACTGTTTTCAAAAATTCAATGTAGACCACATATTTTTGTAAAGATTATTATTATTATTATTATTATTATTATTATTATTATTTTGAGACAGAGTCTCACCCTGTCACCCAGGCTGGAGTGCAGTGGCACCACCTTGGCTTACTGCAACCTCCACCTCCCGGGTTCAAGCAATTCTCCTGCCTCAGCCTCCCAAGTAGCTGGGGTTACAGGCACCTGCTACCACACCCGACTAATTTTTTGTATTTTTAGTAGAGATGGGTTTCGCTATGTTGGCCAGGCTGTTCTCAAACCCCGACCTCAGGTGATCCACCTGCCTCAGGCTACCAAAGTGCTGGAATTATAGGCGTGAGCCAAAGCGCCCAGCCGAAAAATCGTTATTTTTATAAAGAGTTACTGTTATATTGCTGATCGTATTACAGGAAATAAATCTGACATAGCAAATCTTATCCAGAGGTTGGAAGTGACAGTCAAATAGTTTTCCTAGATTTCTTTTCATAAACAAACAAATTTTGCAAATATTAGTTCACTAAATAATAACATGCCACATCAGCACAGCAATACAGGAAACAAAGCAAATCAATCTCTACTGCAAAGATAATGAAGACCATTGTGAAACGATACAGGGTAAGTTATAGGAGTCATATGGGAAGACATATCCAGAACATTATTAAATATCTTTACACGTATCATCTCACTCAACCATGAAAACAACACTGAATCACACAAGATGTCATTTGGAGTTACATTGTTGCATTCTCATTAACACAATAGTGACAAACTAATAATGTTATCTGGAAAGCTTCTTGATCAATCAGCCTTCCTAGTTGATAGGACTGGCTTATTTTTCTGTCTAGCTACACAAGTAAGAAGCGACTTTCCGAAAAGTTCTAAAAGTGCTGCAAGGTGGGAAAAATGTGGAATTGACTACAGGTAATTTGAATGTTGGCCTTATCAACCCTTTCCTTAAATCCGAAGAGGCAAGGGAAGCCTGGGGAAATGGCGGGGACAGCAGCTGTGGTCAGCTTGCTGGAGAGGAAAAGGATCTCTCAGGCCTGATGTCTTCTCCCTTCTGGTTATTAGATATAAGCACAGTGGAATGAATCCAACATGAGCTTGCTGGGAACTTTATTCTTAGTCCTTATTTATGGTTACAGTGGCACCTCCATGTGTTATTTGGGACTCTTTCCCCTTACGGCAATTAACCAGATCAACCAAGGAGTAAATCAGTGTGTCCTTTGACACCAGTGTGGTTCCTGGATTAGTCACATCAGCTTTCACGGGAGCTTGGCAACAATGCAGATCTTGGGCCTGTCCCATGAGAGCCTGGTAGAAATGCAGACCCTGGGTCCATTTCAGATCCACCAAATTGGAGTTTTTGAACAATTTCTCCAGGGGATTCTGATGCAACATCAAGTTTGAACGCTGTGTTTGAGGTAGTGGAATAATCTGGCCTCCTTCTCCCCACCGCCTCAGGAGGCATTTCGCAGTGCAGCGCCGTTTTTCCTTTAGTGTTCACAAAGAAGACAGTGAGAGTAGGGAGCGAGAGACAGGGCAACAATGGAACCCAAATGTCCTTGAATGGGTTTTGTTTCTTTTAGACCCGCGGTTCCCAAACCTGAACATGCATCGGAACCACTGGGAGGGCTCGTTAAGGCCCAGCTTCTGGGCCCCATCTCAGAGCTTCCAGAGGCGTAGGCCTGGGGGCATCGGGGGCCTTGAGAATTTGCAGTTCTCAGAAGTTCTCCTGCGATGCCTGCCCGGCCTCACATTCAGAACCACTGGCTTGTAGAAACAAACAGGAAACTCTCAACTCAGCTGTTTTAAACTCCAGGGATGGGGAACACATTTTAACCAATAGACACAATATATGCTAAATAATGCCCTGTAGCTTCACAGCCTTGCCAGGGTCGGGGAAGTGGCTGGAGGAGAGAGAAGCAGACATTTGGGAGGTTGGAAAAGGAAGTGAATAGAGCCAAGGAAGGGACGAAGACAAGGGTGCCTGGAGAGGCCGGGGAGGTGAGGAAGCCTCTCTAAGAGGAGAGAGGAAAAGCCAGGATGCAAACCAACAAAACCTCTGGAATGTTAGGGAAACACGAAACACGAGCTTTGGGATTAGCCGAGGTGCAAAGCCGGAAGCTTGTTCATGTGGAATCACCCATAGAGCCTCTGTCCCTTCTCACATCTCCTGCCTTTAGAAACGGTTGGCTCAGGCTGGGTGTGGTGTCTCACACCTGTAATCCCAGCACTTTGAGAGGCCAAGGTAGGTGGACCACCTGAGGTCAGCAGTTCAAGACCAGCCTGCCCAACATGGTGAAAGCCCGTCTCTACTAAAAATACAGAAAAATTAGCCAGGTTTGGTGGCGGGCGCCTGTAATCCCATCTACTCAGGAGGCTGAGGCAGGAGAATTGCTTGAACCCGGGAGGCGGAGGTTGCGGTGAGCTGAGATCACACCACTGCACTCCAGCCTGGGTGATGAGAGCAAAACTCTGTCTCAAAAAAAATAAAATAAATAAAAATAAAAAGAAGTGGTTGGCTCAATAGCCGTGATTCACAGATTGAATCTGCTGGCTGTTAAACCTTTGTGTTTTGTGAATACAATTATTGCTGAGCGCTTCATATTAAAAAGTAAAGTTTTTGACAGTCAGAGGGTCTATTCTTTAGTTTAATAAATAATATATGTTTTTAATTGCACTGTATTTTTCTGTTTTTTTCTGTAAACCCTCACAATAAAAGTGTTTTAATTTAGCCATTTACACTTTTAAAATATATCTGTATACATATGTAGAAAGATAGATTTGCTTTTTGTGAGGTTTCTAAATTTACACAGATTTTAATTCAACAGACCTGAATGACTATATTTTTAATAAAATTTATGTCTTTGAATATTGATATCTAATAAAGACTGATATTTAGTGTTTATTTTATTGGCCCTTTGAAGCACTTGTCTGAAAAGGGCTCATTACTGACCCTGTAAATTTCAACAGCTCTCTATGACTTCTTAGTTTATAGCATGTTTTAAATTAGTAGGCTTTATTGATACATAATTCTCATACCATACAATTTGCCCAATGAAAGTGTACAATGTAATGGTTTTTAATATATTCACAGATATGTGCAACCATCACCAATTAACTTTTAGAACATGAATATTCTCATTATCTAAGAAAGCCCGTGTCTGTTACCTGTCACCACCCTCCCCTCCACCCCCCCCGCCCCCACCCCGCCCCACTGCCAGTCCTCAGGAAGCACCAATCTCTTCTGTGTCTCTTAGATTTCCCTATTATGGACATTTCAAAGAAATGGAATCATATGACGTGGTCTTTTGTGATTGGCTTTTTTCATGTAGCATAATGTTTTTGTTTTTTAATAAACTTTTTACTTTAGTTTTAGATTCATAGAAAAGTTGGGGTGATAATACTAAGAGTTCCTCTACAACCTACGGTCAATTCCCTGATTATTAATATCTTCTATTAGTGAAGTACGTTTCTCACAATTGATTAGCCAATATTGTACATTGCTGTTGACTAAAGTCCATACTTTCTTCACATTTCTTTAGTGTTTATACAATGCCCTTTTTCTGTTTCAGGAGCCATCCAGGAGATCCTGATATACTCAGTTGTCTAATTTCCTTAGATTCCTCTTGGGCATAGCATTTTCTCACTTTCCATACTCTTTTAATTTATTTTTAATTGGCAAATAAAAATTCTATATATTTATGGCATGCAACATAGTATTCTGAAATATGTATACATTGTAAAACAGCTAGCTTGATCTAATTAACACCTGCATTACCTCATATACTTATTTTTTGTGTGTGGTGAGAACACTGAAAATCTACTCTCAGTGATTTTCAAGTATATGATACATTATTATTAACTACACTCACTATATTGTACAGCATTTTTAACAGATGGGCTTAAATCCATTACTATATTGTGTGCTGTAGTTGGAAAAATACACATGTGTGTTGTGACTAAATGAACAATATGGGGCTTCCTGCTCTTCCATCAGCCTCAGTGTCAAAGGCTGAGTCTACATGTCATCACCTGATGGGTTCTCTCTGTCCACTGCACAGACAAAACCAGTTCACTGAGACCGTGGGATTTCAGTAAAGAAAGTTTAACTAATGTGGGGCTGGCCACGTGGAAGACAGTTATTACTCAAATCAGTCTCCTCAAAGGCTTGAAGGTTGGGGCTTTTAAGGATAGTTTGGTGGGCAGGGGACCAGGGAATGGGTGCTGATGGTTGGCTGGGGATGCAATCACAGGAGTGTGGAGTGCAGTCCTCATGTTCTGAGTCCACCTCTTGGTGGGGTCCAGGGGACTGGTTGAGTCATCAGTCACAAGTCTGGGTGGGCTCAGTCAGTTGCTAGAATGCAAAAGTTTGGAACCAACCCAAATGTCCATCAATGATAGACTGGATAAAGAAAATGTGGCACATATATACCATGGAATACTATGCAGCCATAAAAAAGGATGAGTTCATGTCTTTTGCAGGGACATGGATGAATCTGGAACCATCATTCTCAGCAAACTAACATAGGAACAGAAAACCAAACCCCACATGTTCTCACTCACAAGTGGGAGTTGAACAGTGAGAACACATGGACACAGGGAGGGGAACATCACACACCAGGACCTATTGGGGGGGTGATGGGCTAGGGGAGAGAGAGCATTAGGAGAAATAACTAATGCAGGTGACAGGTTGATGGGTGCAGCAAACCACCATGGCACGTGTATACCTATGTAACATACCTGCATGTTCTGCACATATATCTCAGAATTTTAAAAAAAAGAAAAAAAAGTTTGAAAAACATCTCAAAAGACCAATCTTAGGTTCCACAATAGTCATGTTAGCTATAGGAGCAATTGAGGAAGTCACAAATCTTGTGCTCTCTGGCCACTTGGCTCCTGAGCAGTGAGAGATTATAGAAACTATTCTTATATTATAGCAGAATCCAGGCCCGTCACAAAATCCTAATCTTGTGCCCTTGCGTTAGTCTTACAGAGTCAGTTTCAGCCCCAAACAAGGAAGGAACCAGTTTATGGAGGAACTTATAATCATTCTTGCTTCACAGATAAACTATGAACTAAATTCCTCCCATGGTTAGCTTGGCCTATGCCCAGGAATGAGGGAAGACAGCCAGCCTGTGAGGCTAGAATCAAGATGGAGCTGGCCATGCCAGACATCTCTCACTGTCATCGTCTTGCAAAGGTGGCTTCATTTGTAACAAATCAGAATCACAAAAGGAACACATTTTCAAAAAAAAAAAAAAAAATGGAGCCCATAGGTCACTAAGAAGATTGTATAATTTAATGTAAACAAACACTTTACCATTTTTAAAATGCATAATTTTCAAAGCAAACTGCTTTCATCTTGGTTGGTGTAGTGTGTCTAGGGGTTGAGCCCCAGGCTGGATTCCCAGACAAGGCTCACTGCTTGTATTAGGAACACCTGCCATCTGGACAGTCACCCAGGTTCCTTCTCTGGCCTGCGGTTTGCATCAATCCGAGCGCCCTCCTGATGGCATGAGGGTAAACGATGCACACACAGTGTCTCTAGGGGTCCTCAGCAGTGGCACTGCTCCATCAGTATTAGTTAGTAATGAGGGCGACGGGGATGGCAGGGTTGACCTGTCGTTGGGGCTGCCACGTGCCTTTGGAAGTCCCATAGAACATGTCTGACTTTAGGTCTCATCACAACCCAGTGAGGGTGAAGGCTCCGCCAAGTGCAGAGCAGTGAAGGGTCACGAGAGATTAGAATTGGGAGATCTCAGCCCAGCCGTGGGCCCTGGTGCCTGGGACTGGGGATGACACTTGATAACAGCTGCCCTTTGGATGCAGATCTGGGTGTGGGGGTTTAGCTCCTGAGCCTTGCGTTAGAAGCTCAACTCTGAAATTCACATGGCCTATGACCTTGGGAAGTTCCGTGTGTCCTGGGTTTAGCTCCTGAGCCTTGCGTTAGAAGCTCAACTCTGAAATTCACATGGCCTATGACCTTGGGAACTTCCGTGTGTCCTGGGTTTAGCTCCTGAGCCTTGCGTTAGAACCTCAACTCTGAAATTCACATGGCCTATGACCTTGGGAACTTCCGTGTGTCCTGGGTTTAGCTCCTGAGCCTTGCGTTAGAAGCTCAACTCTGAAATTCACACGGCCTATGACCTTGGGAAGTTCCGTGTGTCCTGGGTTTAGCTCCTGAGCCTTGCGTTAGAACCTCAACTCTGAAATTCACATGGCCTATGACCTTGGGAAGTTCCGTGTGTCCTGGGTTTAGCTCCTGAGCCTTGCGTTAGAACCTCAACTCTGAAATTCACATGGCCTATGACCTTGGGAAGTTCCGTGTGTCCTGGGTTTAGCTCCTGAGCCTTGCGTTAGAACCTCAACTCTGTAATTCACGTGGCCTATGACCTTGGGAAGTTCCATGTGTCCTCAGCTTCTTCCTCTCACAAATGACTATTGCATTAAATAATCTCATGATCCCTTGCAGCTGTAAGATATGTAGTCTTTTCAAAACACGATTCAGTCAAATGATGATAACAACAGAGTTCATAGCTTTTTAACTTTTCATAGCTATAAATTGAAGCATGTCATGGAAGAAAAAAGGACTCTATTAACTAAACAGGAATCCAGATAAAAGTTGTTTACAGTGTCTTTTTTTAGAAGCAATATAAGCTAGAATTTTAAAAGTAATACAATTCTCTTTTGTATTTTTTTTCTGTGAAATAGATGGCAAATGTAAATAAAAGTCTTCTGTATATTTTAAAACTAAATGGAAAAATCTTCATAAAAAAGAATACCTACTCTCAGGCTGCAATCTCTTTATGCCAACTTTGTTCCCAGCTGGTTCAGTTTTGCTTTATAGCTGGTCATTTCTTAGAGGTCTGTAATGGAAATGCTGAAAGCACTATAAATGTTGCGGTACTAGTGGGTACTGCTGAAATAATGGAGACTTTAGTCACCACCTGGGTGGGGATAGAGGGAGAAGGCTCTCCTAGCATTCGAAGATATGGAAAATTCCTGGAGGAGAAACAAGCATTCGGGGGATATTAGCGGAGTATTTCACCAGTGCCTTTTAACCAGAACAGCAGTTTCCATGAAAACAAGAGGTTTGTTGCGTGTGATGAATGGAGAGTGACTCGAAACAGGTACAGTCTGTTGTAGCAATTATTCCATAATGCATTACTCTATACTTATTAAGGCTACTAAGATAACAGTACTTTGTTATTTAGTATGGATTTTCCTAATTGCAAAACACCGTATGATTTATTATACAGTCTATGATTAGACCAGGCTGAACCAATCAACACCCCCTTAATTACTAGTTGCTGTTATCCATGCACTCTACCAATATTTGAATTCAGAAAGTTGTTAAGTTATCTCAGCCAGCAGCCAACATTACACATATTCTTCATAAATGCAAAAGGCTCATTTCATCAAAAGAGGAAGCCATTATGCCAAGAAAAATGGAACGCAGTTTATACAGGGGCAGATAAATTACTCCGTGTTAAAGAGAAAATCATTCAAGGTGTTGATCATATCCCGTTCTTGAGTAGAAGAGGGGAAAAACTGTGAAACCAGCATAAGCTACCAGTAGATAATATTTCATAAAATTAGCATGGCTGTCTTTTACTGAAGATGTCATTATTCAAGTGAATACCAATGTCTTCCACTGGATAAAACCAGAATTTTAACACAGAGGGATTCATGGTAACTAATAAGTCATATACAATTGGTCATAGGCATGCAGGCAGTTCTTTATATTGTATCCTCACCAGATAGGAGCAATTTCAGCCTTAGGACTTTTAAACTACGTTCCCTTGTGAGGCAAATTATTTCCTTAATGAGGCCAAAAACAGGGATCAAACTAAAGGCTTTGGCTGCTGCCAAATAACACTGGACTTGCACTCAGCAGAACCCAGTGGGTGCTGGAGTGAGAGGGCAGAAGCTGGGCATGCACCTGCTCAGGCAGGACAGAGGCGTGAGATCTTCTGAGAAGCCCAGTAAGAGAGAAGGGCATTCAAGGGCCGGCAGAGAGGTCTGTGCAGCAGAGCCTGATCAGGAGGGACGTGGAGGAAAAGAACTGCTTATATGTAGGATAAATATCATTCTTTTTATATCTCAAACTTTTACCCCGAGACTAGGAAATAGTTTCCTGCTTGGTACAAACTTTCCCCACCTGCATGCATGATGATGAGAAGTCATCCCTAAAAACTTCAGATGACAAACGGGGACCGCTACTGTAGGTCACTGCTGACCTCACTCACTGCTCCCCTGCCTGGGCATCCACACACAGCTGTGTAGAGGCTCTGGCTCCTGGAGGACACCTCCCAGCGGAAGCACAGACCTGCCTGTCCTGCCGCTGTTCTCTCTCTCCTCTCTCTCTTTCTCTGACTCCTTCTCTCTTAGTCCCTCCCTCTCTCTCCTTCTCTCTGCCTCTCTTTCTCTAGTCCTTTAGGAATTTGCCCCTGGACCCTCCAGGCTGGTTCATATTCTGGTGTTTAGCCACCAACACTGCCCCTATTACCACCCTACTTGATAAGCTCTGTGCTGTCTCCTTCCCTGTGATTTTCCTTAACAAACTGTATTAGGAACACCTCGCAGGAACTCAGGTCCTCACAGCTGTGTCACTGCACCTAGCACCTAATGCTTCCTGGGGGCATTTCTTCAATGACGCAGGGGAGAAGGCAAAGTGACCCTGAGCGCATGGGCTTCCGTGCCTTCTCCTGCAGAACCCCACCCACACCGATGGGTGACGCTCCTCTGCGGGCCTCACAGGGAGGGACAGGCGTGGCATGGTCCTCACCATCTCCCGTAAATTCGTGTAAAACCACCCCGATGGAATGGACAGATGGAGCACATGCCCAGTCTTGAATCATAAGCCCTACAGACAATCCCAAGAGATCAAAATCCCTGAAGTCTAAAATCCTGAACAACTAAAACCCCCCAAATCACAATCACAGGATATAGTTGCATGGCGTTAGGAGGGACTATTACCTTGTTATTCTTCTTTATTCAGAATATTATGAATTCCAATGGAATCTCCAAACCATAATGACAGACTTGAATTTTGGTGCGATCAACGTTTCTACAGGTGAATTTCAAGGTATTTCCAATAAAATTTATTTCGTTTTCATACATCCCAATGCATTAGGTGAAAAATTCAGATGGATCAGGTGAAAAATTCCGAATGCATTAAGTGAAAAATTCGGGTGAAAAATTCATTAGGTGAAAAATGCATTAGGTGAAAAATTGGCCACGAGATATGACAAGGAAAACTTCGATTTAAAATGTGCCATTGCCTGCAGTCGCGTTCCCTCCAGCTGATGATGTTCCAGGAGCTTTAACGAATTAAATCTGCCTTTGCCTGAAGGAGTCCACGAGGCTCCTGGCTGGTTGAAAAATAATCACGTGCGAGGTAGGATAGGGAGACGCTCAGGCAACAGTGTGACTGTTCAGGCTTATTTGACAGATCTGTGGTCCACACATGAGTGCACACAGAGTGGGTTTCTGCATGCCTAAAACTACACAGGAGCGCAGCGCAGAAGACGGAAAAACTTAATAGGAAATACGCACTCCCGCGCGTGTCAACTCATAGAGGAATTCCAAGTGGAGCAGCACCACGCAGAAAATGCACGTGAATTGTATTTTCCAAGGAGAACCATGTCCCAAAAGAAAAAAAGGCAGCTACTGATTTCGATGAAAGACTTCAAAATACAGTTAATAATTATGAACAGCAGGCTTTTACGGCCCATCTCCCATAGTTGCCAATGATCTATCCCTGTAAGACACTTTTTCAAATGTCAAATTTTTCTTTTAATTTTATTTAGTCTCTTTTTCTGTTTTCAGTTATTTTTCACTATTTTAAATTATGAACAGTTAATAATTATGAACAGTAGGCTTTTACGGCCCATCTCCCATGGATGCCCATAATCTATCCCTGTGAGACACTTTTTCAAATGTCAAATTTTTCTTTTAATTTAGTTTAGTCTCTTTTTCTGTTTTTAGTTATTTTTCACTATTTTAAATTGCCAGCATTTTCCTTTTTCAATTTGCTATGCAGTGAATTTCACCTTTGCATCATCTTCAATACTGGAGGTTTACCTTGTGTAGAGGCCTTGAGAGAGTTCTAATCTGTTCAGTGCATTTTCTGCAAATGCAGCTCCGTAGAATACATTCTCGCCATGTTTTCATTGTGCGTGAACACTGTGCGTGTGTGTCTTCCTCAGTAAATGAAGAGATGTCCTTTTCCCACATCTGCATTGTGAGTGAGAACATTTCGCCAGATTGTGGCTCTTTAGGCGCGGCACACACGTGGTTTTTGATCCGTCTCATCAAAAGACTTGGAATGTCCATCGCGGTGCGGCAGAAGGTGGTGGTTATACAGCTGGGTGCACAGTTGCCCATCACAGTGATACGTGCTTAGAGAGTAAGCTTCTGGGCCGCTTTCTTAGACGGCCCCTCTGTTTTGCTTGTAACTGGCATGCCCGTGTGACCACGTTTGTGTACCTGGGTGTGTATGCTTGTGAAAATATGAATGCTGTTGCTGCCTATCTTATCAAGTAAAGGACCTATTAGTGTTGTCAGGTTGTCTATGTTTATCAAGTGAATCCCCCCTTTTTAACATGTAAATATATATACCTTTTAAAGAATTTTAAATTATTTTTTCCAGAATAATATTTTTCAGATTTTGATCTTTAAGGATCTCCACATTCAGGATTACAGGGTTCAGTATTGTGTCTTTTGAGATTATAGTGAGCTCCCCCTGACATGCACACAGATTTGTCCACATGCAGAGGCACGCTTATGCACACATTCACACACACACAAGGACACACACCACACACACACACACGCACACACATGTGCTGCCCACAGCTTCTGGCCACGGCGTAGCATGCGGAGAGAAACTGGCATGAGCTGTGCTGTGTCTGTCTTAGAACCCTAATTTTTGTAAAGGGGCCATGCATTTACTTTCGCATGAGCACCACACTCACTCTGTAGCCAGACCTACATTAACTCACCTGGCTCACCAGTTAAAGGATGCAGCATGATTTCATTGTCAAACATAGAGGATATAAAACGGGAAATTCGATAGGGTGGTTTCCGGTCTCCCCCTGAGGCCCTGGACCCTTGGCTTTGCTCACCATGGGGGTCCCAGTGGGTGTGATGGAATTTCTTGGTGGTCGGCCTGGCCCCCAGAGACACTGTTCCCAGCCCCTCTGTGGGTTTCATGAGGGAATGAGAAGGAGATTTGAGGCATGACCCTGGGCTCCAGAAGAGGCCAGTGAGGGAAGAAGAGAGGATGTCTCCACTTCGGGCGTCTCTCCTTGGAAACACACAGAGCAGGGAGCGTGAGAATCTCAGCCTTATTCCTTCAAGCTGCAGGTTTCACTGAATGGCCCTAAACCTTCACAAACCCTTGCCCATGTTCTGTACAGCCCATAGTGTAGTTGCGATAGATGTTTGCAGAGATTTGAACTGGGCTGGAGCTGCTCTGGTCAGTAGGATATTAAACACGGGCACACTGGCAGCACCCGTTGTCAGGGCCACTGACGCCAGCTCTTCCCCCCAGGAGACATTTGCAGTTGGCTTGAAGGGTCGTGATCAACAATGTGGGCATGTCGGGAGAGACACCGGGACTTGTTATTCAGGATTCAGAGAAACAGAACCCTCAGAAGGACACTGTGGCCCACATTGAGAAGGAGCCCAGCAAGGAGCTCGACCTACCTGGCATCCTTTCAGAAATTATATGACACGTGAAACCAGACACTTCAAACACACTTGAATCCAAACCTTACTGCCGGGGAACAGTGACCATCCCTCTGTTCACAGCTGGCCAAAGCTCGGACATGCCACACACCCAGCAATCCACCCAAAACACAAGCCCTACACTCCCAATTCCAATACCAGACCCTGAAGTCTTTGGTCTTGTTGGGGGAACGCCTCCACCTTTGAATCTGTATTGTGTCTTAGGTACTGGGCATTCCCTGTACCAGTTGGTTGGGGTTCTTAAACAGTTATGAAAACAATTAGGAGAAGAGAGGCCCAAGCAGAGGCTGGCTTGCTCTGGCAGCTCTTCCAGAGCCTTCCTCCATAGTGTGGATAAGCCCCAGTTCTCCTGCAAGGTGGAGCTCCAGCCACCAAGCCTCTTCCCGGAGGCCCGCACCTGTGTGTCCATCCTTGACAGTCCAGCATCACTAAGTTGATGTGTCACTGAGCACAGATACAGAATACTGAGAAATCTGCAGAACCTGTGATTTTAAACTACTGTGTGTGAGAGTAGTTGGTGACATACAGCAATTCTGCAGCAATTAAATGAATTGTCCAGCAAAAAGGAAGGGTCTGTTCCATTCCATTTCCCACAGTGGTGGTGTGGACGGACCCCAACCTGATGCCCGAGGCAGTGACAGGCACTGTTGTATGCTGTCTGTGGTGCTGCCCGGGGTGTCAGGAACACTGAGCGGAGTGCCAGGGAACGCCATTGCACACCTGCTTGTGGCTGGAGGAAGGTGCCTCCTGAGACGGCAGTGTCAGTGTCCAGGTAACAGCAGGAGCAGGGCAAAGAGGCAAAGAACAGTGGGGTTGCTTGGGCCTGATATCAGGTAGGAAGGTTGAGGTTTCCCCCCCAGGAAATAAGAGGAGTTTCTGTTCTTCTGCAGAAAACAGGGAGACAGCACCTGCCCTCTTCTCACTCACGTGTTTTACCTGAGCAAGCTCTCTAGCCTGACACCAAATCCTAACAAAACAGATGCTAACATTTTCTATTACACTTTTCAACTTAACATAAAGCATACTTTTTTGTTTTACAATAGAAACATTTCAGAAGAAAAGAGATAAACTGGACTATACTTTAAAAATATGAAAATAAGAATAAAAGAACAGGAATTTAAATAACTTATTGTACTTATTAAGATGTAGGTAATACAGTGTTTTGAGCGAACAGGAGGCTCTTCTTTTCAATGGGACAAGTAAATAATATTTATTTCGTTTGAATTTTGTTAGGAAAATAAAAAGAAATCGAACCTTTAAATTATGTTTGCCTGACAGATTGGGTTGTGGCTGTGGATGCCAAGGAGAACCATCATTTTCTAAAGGGAAAATGTCTTTTTTTTTTTTTTTTTTTTTTTTTTTTTAGAGAATATTCTAGGCATTGCCATTCTCCAGCTCCTCATTCTCAGAACCTTGTTATCATTGTTTAAATAAAGCACTAACTAGGATGCCAACTTTAAGCTTAGAAGAGATTATGGTAAATGATTCTCTCTTTTCAAAAGTGATAAAGTCTTGTTGGTTAGCTTCAGCTCTATAACTGTCCTAGGGAGAGACCTAAATTTCCACTGAAGAGACGAACGTTATATAAAATGTAGAATTTTTAAGAAAAGTCCCTGTAATGCCACTGATTCACTGCCTCATGAAGAATCATTTATGCTATGAAACTTTGGCAGTGGTGAAGTTGGACAAACAGACTGAAGGCTGCAAATTCTCCCAGAGATCAAGCGGCCAATTCTCTATTCACCGACTCTCAAAGTTTTGGGCTGTACCGAGTGAATATCTGACCCCCATCCCCTCGGTGGGGACCTGAAACAGAATGCCCACCAAGCCTTACAGCCCCTGGAGGCTAGTATCCACAGTATCCTGGGTCCAGGAGCCTGTGGGATGGGACGACTTGAAATCAGCTTCAAAAAGCAAAGAAGCAGCCAGGCACAGTGGCTCATGGCTGTAATCCCAGCACTTTGGGAGGCCGAGGTGGGCAGATTGCCTGAGCTTGGGAGTTTGAGACCAGCCTGGGCAACACGGTGAAACCCTGTCTCTACTAAAATACAAAAAAAATTTAGCCAGGCGTTGTGGTGGGTGCCTGTAATCCCAGCTACTCAGGAGGCTGAGGCAGGAGAATTGCTTGAACCAGGGAGGCTGAGGTTGCAGTGAGCCAAGATTGGGCCAGTGCACTTCAGCCTGGGTGACAGAGAGAGACTCTGTCTCCAACAACAACAACAACAAAAAGCAAATAAGCACAGGAGGTTAATAGATGAGAAAAGCTGCGTGTCGAGAGAACTGTGAAGAATGGCTTAAGACTGGAGAGCTGCCTGGGCGAGAGACCGGGGCTTTCCTTGTTTTCAAAGAATTCTTCCCAATCTGAGGTTTAAAATACCTGTGAGAGAAGAGACGATGAACATTTAAAAGATATGCAAGAGTCGTAGGAAACATAGACAACATGTCTACCAAAATGGAGATGGAATCCTGGAGGAGAAGACAGAGGACAAAACAGAAAAAGAAATAGCTGTCAACTTGGAATTCTGTATTTCCTTATGTTATTGTTGCTGGGGTTTGAATATGTCCCCCCAAAAGTATGTGTTAGAAACGTAATCACTGATGCAACAATGTTATGTGGTGGGACCTTTAAGAGGTGACTAGGTCATGAGGGCTGTGCCTTCATGAATTAATTAATTTAATTAATGCCATTAGCATGGGAGTGGGGTCCTTATCAAAGAATGAACTCGGCCATCTCTTGCTCTGTCTCACCTATGTGATGCCTATCACCATGTTATGATGTGGCAAAGAGGCCCCCCAAGATGCCAGTAACCCCATCTTAGACTTCCCAGCCTCCAGAACCATGAGATCTAAATATCTGTTTATAATAAATTGCCCAGTCTGTGATATTTTGTTATAGCAGCACAAAATGGACTAATAAAAGGGTAAGATAAAAATATTTTAGGTCAAGAAGAGGAAAATAAAAGAAAAGAAGGAAGAAAGAAAGGAAAGAAGGAAGGAAGAAAGGAAGGAGGGAGGGAGGGAAGGAGGGAGGGAGGGAAGGAGGGAGGGAAAAGAAGAGAGGGAGGGAAGAGGAGGAAGGAAGGAAAGAAAAAAAGGAAGGAAGAAAAGAAGGAAGGAAGGAGGGAGAGAAGGAAGGAGGGAGTGAGGGAGGAAGAAGAAGGAAGGAAAGAACGAAGGAAGGAGGGAGGGAAGGAAGGAGGGAGCAAGAGAGAAGGAAGGAAGGAAGGGAGGGAGGGAGGGAAAGAGGATAAAAAGGACAGAAGGAAACCGAGATGTTACTGCTCACAGAGCATTGCTGAAAGCATCACCAAGGGAAAAAAAATGTGACTCTAGAAAAAAGATAAGAATGAGAGGGAAAAAAAGTGACAATCGAAGCAACTAGTAAATATGTGAGTAAAATTGAAACACATTTTGACTATGGCAAATAAGAGTAAGTTCTGATTTGGGGGGTTCTGACCCACCCAGAACACATGAGAAAGGTGGGAATAATCTACTTGAGGTGATCTATTTTAAGTTTCTTGTGTTGTTTTCTAGAAATGTAGTCAGACTGATTAAGTTTAGATGTTATTAAATCAAGTTTGCATAGTGCACACTTAAGGACATGGAAAAATTAGAGTACTCATGCACTTCTGGTAGAATATAAAATAGTGCAGTTGCTTTAGAAAACAGTTTTCATTTTCTGAAAATGTCAATCATAGCATGTAGCTATGATTCAGCAATTCTGCTCTGAGGTGTCTACCCAACAGAAATGAGAACATATGTCCACAGAAAAACTTGCACACAAGTTTTTTGTGTGCATTGTTTATAATAGCCCAAAGCAGAAACAACCCAAATGTCCATCAACTCATGAATGAGTACATAAAATGTGGCACATTAATATAATATAATATTATTTGTCAGTAAAGAGGAATGAAATATTGATACATGCTATAACATAGATGAACTTTAAAAATGTGATGCTTTGCAAAAGAAGCCAGACACACAAGCCCAGATGTTATATAAATCCTGCTTATATGAAATATCTAAAAGAGACAAATCTACAAAAACAGAAAGTAGATTAGTGGTTGCTGAGGGGGAAGTGAGTGGAATGATATCAGGTGAGGGAGGGAGAGAAGGAGGTGGCGGAGACACCTGAGACTCCAGTTTCCTGAGAGAATTTGGGAAGATGGTGAGGATTCCCCCATCCAAAGCTACCAGCAGAGACGTCTATGTCTTCGGGATGGACCTGCCTTAGCTCACCTGCGTGCTTCATCCTTGGCCGGGGGAAACATGGCCTGAGCACGGACATGGAGATGGGTCTCGGGGCACAGTGGCTGGGACTTTTGTCAGTTACATTTCCCTCAGGGGCCAGAGACAGGTAGGTTTGAGGTTGCTACGCCGTCCACAAATGACAGGCCACAAAAACAACCCAGAAAAGTTATAGAAAAAGATTGGAAGACTACACTGAACAAATAAAAACTTACTTCACCTTTGATCTTAAGCACATGTAAAGAGTAATGGCATTATTTTTAATGGGGCATTACAGCTACAAAAGACCTTCACTGCGACCTAGGATTCACTTTCACTTACAGACAAAATTCCCGAGTGGTCTACCCAAGATTCTAGAGAGTCCTTGAGACAGATGGGAGCTCGATCCCAGAGTCGTGTGCACTTGTTTGGAAATGAAGGTATGATGTGAGAGGCCGTAAAGAAATCTAATTCCTAGGTGGAAGAACTGAGGATACCTGAACAAGGACCCCATCTATGACTGTGCTCTGCTGATCTCTGAGATGTGTTGTCAGCTTGTCTTGATTCAGACCTCTGTGCCAATTATCTGTTCTTGGAACTCAGGGTTTTAAAAACAATATAGTTTTCCATTCCCGCATTACTTCCCTTAGAATAATGGCCTCCAATTCCATCCAGGTTGTGGCATATGTTCTCACACATAAGTGGGAGCTAAGCTATGAGGACACAAAGACATGAGTAGGATAAAATGGACTTTGGAGACTTGGGAGAGAGGGTGGGAGGGGGTGAGGGATCAAAGACTACCCACTGGGTATAGTGGACACTCTTCGGTGATGGGTGAGCCAAAATCTCACAAATCACCACTAAATAACTTATTCATGTAACCAAATACCACCTGTTCCCCCAAAGTTCTATAGAAATAAAAATAAAAACTAAAAATTAAAAAAACATAGTTTTTGTTAAAACTGTCCTTTTAAATAAAGCAGAGAAAACAGAGACAAATAAGTTAGAGGATATTTTCTGAGATATTTTACCAAGCTTATGGTTATTCTTCCTCTTCTAGACTCTATGCCAGCACACAGCACACCCCTGACACACATATTCACATATAGTCCCTTACACACTTATGCATACAAGGCCTGAATACACACACCTGCACACATCACACAGTCTCTCTCATAATTTAGAGGACATTCATTGTCTTTGCAGCTATACTCTTAAATCATTCAAATAACTCTAGCTGGCTTGTCCCTGAGTTCTTTGTAGAGCTTGAAATATATCTTTTGAGGCAGGGGTGTTTGCTAAAATAAGAATACGAAATTACACATGTGAATAAGGAAGACACATTTATATTTGCTTAGAATGAACATAAACACATTGCAAGGCCCTCCCCAGGACTTGGGAGGGGCCTGTCCGTGGAACTCTAGATTCCTGAAGCTCAAGATTCCATAACTTCCTGGTAAATCTTCCCCCGATAGATAAGAATGTTTTTAAATCAAAGCAAAGGCCGCAGTTGATTTTACCACTGTTCCTAACCTTGTTTAGATGTGACCATACAAGATGATTTGAAATAAGACCACACATAGTTAGGCCTTTCTTTGATATCCCTAAGTTTGAGACACTTTGACCGTAATTGTCAGCTCTGGGTACTGATCCCTTCCCATTTAGTGAACTCAAGCTCCAAGCTGTCTGTATGAGACTTCCATGGGGAGGCTGAGGTGGGGTAGGTGGAGGTTAGGACGGCTGGTAGTGAGGGCCCTGGTATGTGGTGGGGCCATTCTGTTAACTCAAGCTCTTTGTATGAAGCTTCCATGGGGAGGCTGAGATGAGGTTGCTGGAGGTCAGGAAGGCTGGTAGTGAGGGCCTGAGTATGTGGTGGGGCATCCTACAGGAACAGTGTGCTCCTTGTAGGATACTCCAGGAAAGGTTGGTGAAAAGCTTTTGCCCTTTGAAAAATATAGATAAGGCAACAAAAAGGCAATCCACAGACTGAGACAAAATTTTGGAGAACATATATTCAACAAAGGGCTTGTATTCAGAATATAAAAGGAAATATGAACACACACACAGACACACACGCACACGTCTTAGTAATAAGGAGAAAAGAGACCTCAATGATTAAAAGTGCTCAAAGATTTGTAGACACTTCACCAAAGAAGATATATGAATGGCAAGCACATAGAGGAAAGATGCTTAACATCACTAGCTTTCAGAAAATGCAAATGAAACCAAAATGCAACATTGTTGTGCCCACTAAAATGGCTAAATGTAAAAAGGCTGACAATACTAAGTGTTGGTGAAGACGCAGAGTGAATGGAACTTTCATTTATTGCTGGTGGAAATGAAAAATGGTACAGCTACTCTAAAAACTAGTCAGAATCTTAGAAGGTTTAGCATATACTTACTGTATGACCCAACAAACTCACTCCTCCTATTTCTCAAAGAGAAATAGAAACATGTCTTCGCAAACATGTACACACATGTTTATAGCAGCATTATTCTTAATAGCCAAATACTGGAAGCAGCCCAGATGCTTATTGGCTTTGGTGAATGCATAAATACCATGGAGTATCCACACAATGGAATACTACCCAGTAATAGAAAGGAACAAAATAGTATCACATGTCACAACATGGATGGATGTCAAAGACATTATGCTAAGTTAAGGAATTCAAACACAAAAAAGGCACATGCCATATTATTTCATTCTTATGAAATTCTATAAAAAGCAAAACCATCATGTCAGAGAGCAGACCAGCATTGGCCTGGAGCTAGGGATTGGAGGAGAGGATCAATTGCAAAGTCACACAGGTAACTTTTTGGTCAATGAAACTGTTCCCTATCTTGATTGTGGTGATAGTTACACAACTGTATACTTTTACCTAAAGGTATCCAACTTTGTCTTAAAAACAAAAACAAATAGTTGAGGTCAAACCACTCAAAGGTGTAATATCGACATTCAAAAAACATGCACAAAAGTCAGGTTGTCTTTGAATACGAGTGGTTTCCCAGGTAACAATTTCTCTATGTAGAACAGTCTAACATTCATATCAACCACATTCTATTCTGGATTGGAGAAACAATGATTTTTGTTCAGTAATAAATGCCCCAAATCTTGAATCACAAACCACTAGGTCAGAGTAGAGCTATTTACAATCGTGCTATTGGCAAGCCATCCGCTTATTCTAAGGAATCAGCCAAAATCCTTTAGAGCTGTTTTTGAAACTGCTTTTAGGACTTAGTATGTTCTTCTGATCCTTTTCAATGCTAGAAAGCCTATGTCTTGGAAACAATTTGGTTTCTGAAAATAATTTTTGATCATTTGATGTTAAGTCTTGAAGTAAGCAGGTAGCCGGCAATTCTGAAAGGGAGGGACGCATTTGGATTTGATTGTTCATCAACAGCCTCAGGACTTTCTGGTTCTTGCTCATCTCCATGAGCTTCCCTTGGTCAAGGCATCCTCAGAAGGCATAGGAAGACAAGACTACATGTCTCTTCTGTTCTTGGATCGGTCTTTGCTTCATTCATGGCACACGCATTTCCTGAATGTACAAAGAAATGCTGGCTTGAACAATGGTAAGGGAGTGGATGTGGAAACAAAAGAAAAAAAACAGTAGTTCAAGGTTGTAAGCCTTTTGAACATGGTGCCACTGATAAGCAAGGGGAGTTTTAGGGTGAGACCTGGTTTGGGGAGAATTGTCTTGAGCTTGATTGTAGTCACATTAGGTGTAAGTTGTGATAGAACAGTCAAGAAGAAAGATGTGATCTGATGTGGATTCAGGTCTGAAATAGAAACCAACCATGGAGGTGGGAGCAGAATGCATAAGAAATGAAAAGATCTCCAAGGGGAAAGCTGCGTAAGAAAAAGAGGCTCACATCTGATTCCAGGGAGATCCTGCATCGCTCTGTCACCTACTCCATCCTCCAGCCCGACCATGGAAGCTGGAATTTAAAATAAAAACACTTTGATTTTATTTGCACTTATTTGTTTAGGCTTAAAAGACTGAAAATGTGTGATATTTATGTATCTACTGCCCCAGTGAAAGTACAATAAGAAACAGGGTTTATCTTCACAAGGTAAAGACAGCATGCCCAGGCTAGAACAGAGATGGAATCCATTGTGTGTCATGGTTTTTAGAAACTGGAATGCTGGCCGGGTGCAGTGGCTTACGCCTGTAATCCCAGCACTTTGGGAGGCCGAGGCAGGCGTATCACAAGGTCAGGAGCTTGAGAACAGCCTGACCAACTGGGAGAAACACCGTCTCTACTAAAAATACCAAATTAGCTGGCATGGGGCATGGTGGCACATGTCTGTAATCCCAGCTACTCGGGAGGCTGAGGCAGGAGAATTACTTGAACCTGCGAGGCAGAGGTTGCAGTGAGCCAAGATCATGCCATTGTACTCCAGCCTGGGTGACAGCAGCGAAACTCCGTCTCAAAAAAAAAAAAAAAAAGAAAGAAAGAAAGAAAAAAGGAACAGGAATGCCTAGCAGAGTAGCAGAGCTCTCCATGGGGAGGAGCCTCTGTATGTGCCTAGATATCAGACTCACACTTCAACCACGTCATAGACAGGGAGCCACGGGGATACAGCCAAATCCAGAATGTGGGAGATTCCACATGACACATGACTCAGTTTCTTCATTTCTTCCAAAGACCCAGCAAACAAACAAAACAAAAAAAAAAGGTGGAGCTAAGGAATGGAAGCTGTTGTAGATGATAGGAAAGGTAAGAAATCAACAAATGCAATGTGGCCCACGTTGGGATTTTGATATAAACAAACCAATGGGGAAAAGACATTTATTTTGATACAATCAGTGAAAATTGAACACAGACTGGGCATTTGGTATTATTAAGAAATTGTTGCCAATTTTCTTGAGAGTGATAATGGCATTGTGGTTAAATATAAAAACATCTTCTGGAATATAATAAAACATTTGTGCAAAAAGTGACACATTGAGATTTGCTTTAAAGTTTTGAAGCTTAAAAAATGTGGAGGTTGATAGAGATTGATGAAAGAAGAAAGAAAAATATTGGAAATTGGTGAAGATGGGTTACGAGTGCATGAAAATTTACTAATTTACTAAATTGTTTTCTCTAATATATGTATGTTTAAAATGTTCTATCATAAAATGTTCTTTAAAATAGCAAATAATGTCTGGTGGGTAATCATAAGGTACTTATGCTTGCCAGGTTGAGATATTGTGGAAGTCCTTATTCTGGTAGGGATATAGACCTTGGCATCAGAATCACTTGAGTTCAAGCCCTGACTCCTCCAGGATTGACTATTGGGCATGAGGTGAGTTTCATGACCTCTCTGAACTTCAGTCTTCTCAAATGGTATATGGGGAGTACAATTAAGATAGATCCTGTACCTCAAGCGTGTGTTCAGGACACAGAGAACCCTCAGAATTTGTTGAATCAATGCATAAATAAAGGAAGAAATGTGTGAAGGAATAGTTGACACAAATCTTTGGATAAATGACAAAGCTTTTAGCCAAAGTATTGACAAGAACTCTTACCTGAAGTATATCAACAACAAGAGGAAGAAGCCAGCCTCCTGCTTCTGCACGCAGCCCCTGCTGTCATTTGGAAGTGTCTGTGTGGATGCAGAGTCTGGGGTGGGTGGGGGATGAGGGGCATGGTTCAAATCATTCCTAAGGGGACCTGCAGGTGCCAATGGACATTGAGATAGAGGAATTTTCACTAAATGTACATGAAGTGTATATTTTGAGAGTGGGAAGGCACCTCCTACTCGGAACTGATAGCAGGTATTATCTTAGTCTGCTCAAGCAGCCATAGCAAAATCTCACAGACTGGCGGCTTAAACAGCAGATGCTGATTTCTCACAGTTCTGCGGGCTGGAAGTCCAAGATTAAGGTGCCAGCTGCAGTTTCGGCATCGGGGAGGACTGGAGTCTTGATTTGCAGACGGTCGTCTTCCTGCTGTGACCTCACATGATGTCAGAGAGCACAGAGAGAGAAGGAAAGAACACTCACCCCATTCATAAGAGCTTCACCCTCATAAAAAAATCACCGCCAAAAGACCCCATCTCCAAATACCATCGCACTGGAAATGAGGCTTTCAACACAGGCATTTTGAAGGAACATAAACCCTCAGTTCATGGCGGGTATCCTGTCTTTCTCTACATAAATCTGCAATATTTAACACAGTGTCTGGGTTTTAGTTACAACAAGATAATCATTTAATGAGCTAAAATTATCTTAGAGAAATTCTAGTCAGCTTTTCATATTGCAATTTGCTAGGAAGCCAAGTTTCTCAAGGGGAATAGGAACTGCAAATCACTTGTTTAAAAAAAAATTCTCCTGTGACACACACATCTGTGTACAAACACACACAACCACACACACACACACACACACACACACACACACAGCTGACCTCTTGAAAGACAGTCACTGATGGGAAACTGTTTTAACCCTCTGGAGTGCTGGTCCCTGGGAAAGTCTGGCAGTGACAGTTTTGGGAAACTCTTTGGCCGAGAAACCCACACTTTTATATCACAAAACATCGCACTGCTTAATTTTAGCCTTGTGGTACAAAGAAAATATCTCTGCAAGATTTTCAGAGACAGGCGGCTTGGTAACCATCTCCACTCCAATAATTAGCAAACACCCTCTGCTACCCTGGAGGTGCAATCTAACCAACACCCCAGCACCATGATCACCATCCGGCCAGGGGTCCTGGCAGCCAGTGTGGGGATTTGCAGTACTTACAGAAATGCTATAAAATCTCCAAACGTCTTCACTGTTGCCTTTTGCTCTGTAGTGCAACTTTTCTGCATTGTAGTTATTGTATGGCTTTGTATTTCTTGTTTTTTACACTCAGGACTTTAGAGTTAAGTATTTGTACACCAGGTAGGGCTATCACCTTTATCTCATTGTACATGCAATATTATAACACACAATTTTGGTGCTTTTAACACTATTTCTTTTTTTCATTTTTATTAAAGAATGTTTATTTGAATTATATACTTTTAAAAAATGAATAGTATTCACATACAGCATTAGATACACCCAGTGCCCATTTGTAGTTTGTCCAAGCTCCATCATAATAAACCACCAATGATGAACTCCAGTAGCAATGGGGCAAAAACCCCCTTCCAGGGATGGGCGCTTTACCTGGCTGGGTGCCTGACTGTAGGCTGGGCCTGCGTGTCTGGGAGTCCCAGGGCGGCTGGGTATTTGAGCAAAGCTCCTGGGGTTTGTCCTTCCCTCTGTACATTTTCTTACCATTGCACAAGCAGTGGGCACTGCCCCTCCCTGTCCATTGTCCTCCACATCAGCTCGGACCTCTGGGCTTCCATCTGGTAGACCCCTCGCTTGCTCAGGGCATCCATTCAGGGTCCGGTCCCCATTCACCCTTCATACCTCCACTCAGG
The DNA here is from genome assembly GCF_000001405.40 of Homo sapiens. NCBI lineage: Eukaryota > Metazoa > Chordata > Mammalia > Primates > Hominidae > Homo > Homo sapiens. The sequence continues at coordinate 3,390,798 of NC_000010.11, forward strand.
ACATGCACTTTTGTCTTCCTTTCTAGCCCTCAACAATCCAACTTTAATGGCCCATGAGAACCAGAGCTGACCCCATCAGAAACTTCCCAACAACTCACGCATCAGAAACTTCCCAACAACTCAAAAGGGTTTGTGTTCCCCAGAAGGCAGACAATGCTCGACCCACCGGCATGCCAGAAATGGAAGGGCAGAGCTGGGAGCCGAGGACGACGGGGATGTGGGGATGGAGGAATGGGGGCAGGGCTTCCTTCTCAGAATTGGTTGACCACCCCTGAAGGAATGGGAGAAGGAACAAGCCAGACATTGCTGGTACACTGTCACGTGCATAGCACCTGAAATGAGCTTTCAAAGTCAGACTTTGCCCTAGTCACTGAGAGCAGCTGCAAGTGTGGGGAGACGCTGACCATAGGCACAGGTGATGGGCGTGACAGGTGATCTATCAAGTAGCCGAAGGGGTATCTGGGTGAGAAAGGTGGCTTTCTGAGGACAGGTTCCCTATCTGGTACTACCCAGATATTCTCCAATGAGACTTCTGTGCTCCTCCGAGCAGTGAGACTGGCACGTGAAGAGATCTCTGAGAGACATGAAGTGAATGAGTGACAGGCTGTATCACAGGGTCAGGTGATCCTGGTTTCAGTACAGCTTTCTTACCTCTCAGATGTGTAACATCAGATGAGTTGCCTAACTTCTTAAAACCTCATTTTCCTCATTTTTAAGATGGAATTAACAACAGCGTCCACTGTGTTCATGGTAATGTGTCCATAAATGTTAGAAGGGAGGAAAGGAGGAAGGAAGGAAGGAAGGAAGGAAGGAAGGAAGGAAGGAAGGAAGGAAGGAAGGAAAGAAAGAAAGAAAAAATTTTAAAAAAGGAAAGAAAAGGAAAGAAAAAGGAGAGGGTAGGGGAGGAGGGGAGGGAAGGGAAGGGAAAGGAGAAAGGAAAGGAGAGGATAAAAGGAAAGAAGAGTAGAGAAGAGGTTCATTTGTGGCCTCCATTTTGGGCCACCCTCAGCTAGCAGTGAGCATCCCTGGGTTAAATGCAATAGGTTAAAGACACAGTTCTCTCCAGTCTGTGTCATCAGAAGAATATTTTACAAGCAACCTTGTAAGCATTCAAAGGGAAAGCTGGGCTCAATATTTCCTCCACCTAATGCAGAAACAATGAAAGCTGATGTTTATAAAGTGGGAAGATCGTAAGCACTAAATATTGCTCATTAGTTTATAGAAATAGTAGCATGGATAATAACAAATGATTTAGAAAGGCTGTTCAGTGATTCTTATTTACCCTGCCCAATAATATATGAACAAAAGGTAGGTGATAAAATTAGAAGACATCCCATTTAGAACAGATAAAAGACAACACTGCCTTGTTTACTCACCATGTAATTATCTTGTAAAAGTCTTCACTACAGGATATTATTGTGACAAATAGTTTCAGCTAAGGATTAGGCATTTATAATAAGAGGAGCAACATGTGTAGTTCAAACCCTATCATGCTGTATACCACGGCATGGAAGATGCTAGCTGAAAGTGAGAAGAATAGAGGGAAGGTCCCAGAAAATTCAAGACTTAAGGTCTGCCAATTTCCCCCAAACATTCTTAGCTTAACTTTCCACGTATAAGAGCACGTGTTTTGCTGTGTGTTTATTTTTTCTGTTTTAGACTATTTATCTTTTTCATTATGGGGAAACAGAGTATTACATTCAGGCTAAATTGTTTTCCTGAGATTTTTGGCTAAATTAATTAATTTGGAAAAGAATTGCAAGCAGAGAGTATAGTAGACGTTAAAGATGATCAAACATCGTTGCATTGATCGCAGAAATGATGATTTGATCTCCTAAGGATTCTGGTGGTAGCAGATGCTCCAAACTGATTGCCTGCGTTGGTAAAATAATTCTGACTATTACTAAATTGCTATTTCTCTTCTTCTAATGTGGATATAGTCTGAATAAATGGTATGCTTTTATCTAAAACATCTGGGTCTGATTTCTATTAAGGACATGATGAACCATTAGCCTGTAACAACTAACAGTTAAAATAAACATTTCCCCCCTATAGTTTGGCTATAACCAAAGCAGTGAGAACTTTTAGTCAAACCAGTTGCCTGGCATTTTTAAAATTACAGCAACAACATAAAAACTCCAAATATTAATTTTTACACAATTCTAGTCTATTATACTCAATTAATTTAGTTAAGTCATATGAATATGTAGATATAACTTGACTAGGCCTGATTTTCCTAAACCTTTATATAATTAGAACTATGCCTTATATCAGACAGTAAAATACCTTATCTAGAAAGCTTTTGTGTTTCCGAATGGGAAATTAATAGACGCATATAAATATATTTGTTATTAAGTGTGAATTTGCATGGTTCCTCTAAATCCAGTTTTAATATGGGCCAAATGAAAATCATATCTTGTTATTAGACTATTTATATTACCTTTGCATTGCTATTGAATTCGTTATGTTTTTCCCTGTTAAATTGAATATAAACTAAGCCTAAATAGCCATAGAAATAAACATTAAAAAAGTAACACATTTAAAATATGCTCTATCTCTTTAGAAATAGAATTGACTCTATAAATGAACTGTTAATAATATATGTCTTTTTGCTTTTAAAGATTGCAAAGAAAGAAAGAAAGGGATGAACAGGGATTCTAGTTTCATACACTGGTTCAATGAATATTTACTGAGTGGATTTCAAAGCATTGCATTCCACTAGGTTACCAGGTTCTTGGGGAGCCGTTGGGTAACTTAGAGATTTAGAGGGAAAGTTACACATACACACACACACACACACACACACACATATCACAGGTGTCAGCACCACCCCCACCCCACCCCCAGCAGTCTATAGCACTCACTCACACTTGCTTCCCTCTCATGGACCCTTCCCAGTGGCTACTCCTTCCTTTCACCCGACTCTCATGCTTACTTTATTTGGACAACCAGTGCTGATCCAGTGCCTAACCTCCAATCTTCTCCAGCTTTGCTTCTAAAGAAATGCAAATCCTACTAGTGTTGATGACTTGTCTGTCTGGTATTCAGTCCCACCTGGATCAATTCATTCCACTTCTTGGTTTATATCTAAAGGCTTTGAAATCAGTATATTAAAAGACATCTCTGCAGTCTCATGTTTACTACAGCATTCTCCACAATAGCCAAGATATGGACTCAACCTAAGTGTCCAACAAGGCATCAACAAATAAAGACAATGGGGTACATATGCACAACAGAATACTATTCAGCTTTAAAAAAGAGGAAAATCCTGTCGTTTGCAACAACATGGATGAACCTGGAAGACATTATATTAACTGAAATAAGCCAGGCACAGAAAGACAAATACCACATGACCTCACTCATCTGTGGAAAATTTTCAAAAGCTGAACTCACTGAAGCAGAGAGAAGAATAGTGGTTACTAAGGGCTGGGCAATGGGGGAGTTGGAGGTTGGGGAAACGTTGATCAAAGGATACAAAATTTCAGTTGGATAAGAGAAATAAATTCAAGATATTATTTTACAACATGGTGACTTTAGTTGATAACATTATTATATTTTCAAAAATGAAAGAAAAAAAGAGTGAAAGGGGATGTAATACAGTCATAAAGAGCACAGAAAAAAAAAAGTAAATCCCATTTGTACCTTGTTTTGAGCTGTGCTATTCCAAGGCCGGGGGAATGCTTAAAGAAACCCTGATCTTGGAATGGCACAGCTGAGACAATAAATTCTGTGTCTTGTGGAAGAGAAAAACCATCATGAGTGGAAAAAATCAGAAGGGCTCAGAGGGAAAGTGGAAACTGACTTGTGGGTGAGGAATTGGACAGACACTGGGTGGCAATCTTGGAGAGGAAAACAGAATTTAAAAAAAGAATAAATGAGATACGTTCAAAGGCCAAAAAACAGATCATGGTGGTGGTGTAGTAGTTATCTCCTGCTGTGTAACAAGTTGCCCCCAAACTTAGCAGCTTGAATCAATGCACATTTATCATCTCACAGTTTTTGTGGGTCAGGAATCTTTGTGTGGCATGGCTGGCTTGGCTCACTCACAAGTCCACACTCAGGTACTGGCCAGGGATGAGGACTCATCTGAAGGCTCAGGTGGGGAAGGGTCTGCTTCTGAGCACCCCTACAAGCATACCGGCAGGACTGCATTGCTCCAGGGTTGGGGGATTGAGGTCCTCAGTTTCTTGTAGATTTCAGCTGAGAAATGGACTCAGACGTGCCTGTTGCCTGCCCTGCCTCCCTGAAGTCTTATTCTTTTCTTATTGGACAGGAAATTGACAATCAGTAAATGGTGAGATTGTTATTTTCACCTTCACCTGGACTTTATGGAGATAATCTCAGTCAATAGAGTTGCTCCACTCAGAGGAGTTCCAGGCACCAGGAAGTCAGTCAGGCGTGGGAGAGTTGCTGTTTCTGAAGGGGATGTGTGGTGGCTTCTCCCAGCTGGTTTCATTCTACTTGGATGATTGTCCCATGTGCTCATCAGGGGACAAGTCCTGTATGGGAAGGGACAAATGTGACTGTTCTGAGCAATGTCACGTCAGATCCCTGCACGCTTAAAATCTGATGAGCTATTATTTTTCATGCTCTCCCTGACCAGAAAAATAATGTAGGGAATGGTTTGTCTGGTCACTGATGGAAGCAATGCGCCTCTGAGTGCAATGTCATGCTCGCAGGTGAGCCTTCCTTCCTGCCCACGTCAGAGCACATCTCAGGGGAGATGCCTGGAAAGGTGATTATGCACAGTGGATTTCAACCCAGATGGCTGAGCCAGGTGGTGTGAGGAAAACCACTCTCGCAGCGCTGGGGATGTCCCCAATTACAAGGCAGGTCTGCAGCCTCTGGGCTTCTGCCACTCACCAGGCTTGCTCTGGGAACTGCAGTGCCCCATGTCAGTAAGCTGGCACAGGAGATGGAAGATAAACATAACCATTCTGTGTGTACTGTGGGTGCCGGATGCCGTCTCCATCACTCATTCATTGTTGTTGCTGCTAATCTGATCCCAGTTCAGGTGAGAGAAGGCCTCACTGACCCTGAAACAATTAGGATTTCTTTATTTGGAAATTTTCTAAGTGGCCACTGTAATTCATCCCCTCTGCAAGACTCTGACCGTAAAAAAGCTGCCCTGAAATCTTATGGACAAAACCTCTGTTTGGGTCTGGCCCGGTTCCCAGATGATTGAGTGCATGTAATCTGGGGGGTTTGCCTTCAGAGAAAATCAGTCATTTGTGGGGAAGCCCAATATTGTTCTCTTAGCTTGTCAAAAAAAAAAAAAAAAAAGCCCACAGCCCAGGAATGAAAGAGCTGGCAGGTCTGTGCTTACAGGTCTCTGGGAACCTGTCATCTTCTGCTCTTTAGCTGTCAGGGTTGGAAATGCAACTCTCCCCTTCCGTCCTCTGTCTCACTGATGGGGCCCATTCCAGCTGCTGCTGGCTGAAGACCCTGTGGGGACAGTCCACCCCGGAGTGCCACTCTGACTGGCTCAGGACGGGAACCTGAGCCTGCTGCAGACAGGTGACCGGAGCGCGCTGGGAGCCACACGGCGGAGCAGCCCCAAAGCCGAGGGCTTGCATGTGCTACTCCAATTAATTCTAAAAGCAACCTCATGGCACTGGCCTTTCTCCCATTCTGTAAATACGGAGGTAGAGGTTTTCTAGGTTAGGGAAACTTCTCAAAGTCTCAGAGACAGTGAGAGATGGAGTTGGAATCTAATTTAGGGCTGTCTGTTTCAGATCCGAATCTGTCACATACACTGATACTGGGCCACTCACCTGTCACTCACAGACACCACAATGACTGTGAAAGGGCAATGCCCTGTTCGTCTCCTCTGCCCATAAGCTTCAGCCCTACCACCTCCCACACCCCTCTCCTCTACATTCTGCTCGGCTTGGAAACATGGATATATTAAAAGTCTGTATAGATGCCCAGAACCGAGTTATTAGATACCAGAGTATGGGGTTTCTAACCTCAGTTGATACTATAGACAGATGGCAAATAAATCACCCAGTTTGCCTAAGTTCTCTTTTTCAGTCACTCATATTTTCCTCAAATCATAGTAAAGTTGTTTGAATTACTGAGCCCCTGATAAACTAGACTGGTCCTGACACGGAACAATGAACTTGCCTCACACCACCTGTTACAGGCTGAATGTATGTGTCCTCCCAAAATTCACATGCTGAAGTGCTAAACCCCAGAGTGGGTGTATGTGGGGTAGGGAGGCAATTAAGGTTATGTTGGGTCACAAGGGCAGGGCCCTAATCCAATAGGATTAGCTTCCTTAAAAGGAAAGATACCAGAGAGTGTGCTCCGTTTCTTCTCCTCTCCTCTCTCCCTCTCTTTCTCCCTCCCTCCCTCTCTCTCTCTCTCTCCTTCTCCCTCTCTTTTTCTCTCTCCAACCATCTCTCCCTCCCTCCCCCTTTCTCTCTCTCTCTGCTATGGGAGGGCATGGTGTGAAAAGGCAGCTATTTGCAACCCAAGAGGAGAGCCGTCTCCAGACACCAACCCTCTGGTCCCTTGATCTTGGACTTCCAGACTCTGAAACGATGAAAAACTAAATGTCTGTGATTTAAGCCACCCAGTCTGTGATAGACTGTTATGGCAACCAGAGCAAACCTGTCACAGTTTGTCATCAAATGTTGGCTTTGTGATTCACTGATGATTGTGTTTCTCCCCTACAAACTGTAAGCCTCACCAAGACTGAGCTCATGTCTTCCTGCTTCAGTGTTAGATCCCTAATTCCTCGCACAGTGCCGTGCACATAGTAGGTGCTCACTAAGTCTTTGTTGACTGAGGCCTCAAATCTAAACAGAATGGGAGATGCATAGGCCTCCACCCAGACACCCCCAATGCTTCATTTTACAGTTAGGGGAAGCCCAGACAGAAAGCTAGTAAATCGTTTACCTGAACTTACTCAGCAGGTGAGGGGCAGGTCAGGTCTGGACTGAAGGTCCCCTGGGCTCCCCTGAGCAGGGGAGAGAAATGACCTCAGGGTCAGCAGGAGGACTCTGAGGTGTGGAGCCCCCCAACATGCCAGGCACTGCAGGAATTGCTTCACTTAGCACAGAAACCTGAGGTGCTGCTCATGTTCCCATTTCACAAAATCAGATCTGAGACCAAAAGAAAATCCTACCCGCAGCAGCGTGTCTGCTGCGCCCCCTCACCCGATTAGCCCGGTGTTTGCCCTGCGTGCCCCCCGGCGCCGAGCTCACTCGCCCTCTTCCCTGCGTGCCCCCGCCACCGGCGCCGAGCTCACTCGCCCTCTTCTCCGCGTGTTTCCATCAGTGCCTGCCTTGGCTCTGCTTTCTCCAAACCTGTCCCCATCGGTCAGCTGGGGTGGACGAGTGTTTTCCATCTTGCAAAGTCATTGTGTGGGGAAGATGAGATATTCCACGTGAAGCCCCCAGCACGGCCCCCAGCGCAGCCTCCTTCCAGGAATGTTGGCTCTGAGGTCGTCTTCCGCGTGAGTTTTCATCTGTCACTTGTAACAGGAGTGCTGGTGGGAACCATGGTGCAGGTGAGCAGGCTGACAGCAGCAGTTCTTGTTGGGGAGACTTTTTTCTCTATTGTTGGGGAGACTTTTTTCTCTACTGTCATAGCTTGAAATATCTGGGGTCTGCAAGTGAACGGACAGCAGACAGGTGGACAGGAGGGAGAGCAAGGTCCATCGGCTGTGCTCATGCACACACACGTGAGGACACAGTAATGAGGAAAGGGTTTATATACCAGCAAACACAATAAAAACAGGGGCTCAGGGCTTCACGGGGAGTGTGGAAGGTCCTTTCGGTCTTGACGCTAATGGGCAGCTGATCCGAACTGGTTTTGTTTTGTTTTGTTTTATTTTTTTTTTGAGATGGAGTCTCTCTCTGTTGCCCAGGCTGACGGGCAGTGGTGTGATCTCGGCTCACTGCAACTTCTGCCTCCCAGGTTCAAGAGATTCTCCTGCCTCAGCCTCCTGAGTAGCTGGGATTACAGGAGTGCGCCACCACACCCGGCTAATTTTTGTATTTTTAGTAAAGATGGGGTTTCACCATGTTGGCCAGGCTGGTCTCGAGTAGACCTCAGATGATCGTCAGCCTCCCCAAGCTCTGGGATGACAGGCGTGAGCCACCATGCCCGGCCTGTACTGCACTGCTCGGTGTGGGGGGGGTTTAGTCTTCCTCCAAGCAGGATATGCCCCCAGAGGGGTCAAAGCAGCTCTGCTTCCTGGGGCAGCTGCTTAAGTGGAGGTAGTTTCTTTCTGCGGCTGCTGACTGTTCAGGAGTTTTCAATTTAAAATAATTTCCATCCCTTCATTCTCAACTGAAGTGTGGTCCAGCATCACCTGCACGGCTTGGAAGACGGAGATCGCAGAGCCGGGTCCCAGGGTGTCTGATTCAGTGAGTCCAGAGGCGTGCCTATGTGTGGACAGACATCGCTGACCGACCATAACCTCACATCTGCCAAACAGACACGGCCTCAGAAATTAACAATGGATGTTTGTCTTCAACGAAGCTTCCGCCCGACACATCAGATACAGTGCTGTGCTGGGCGGAGCCACAGGAAGCCTGGAGGCCTGGCTGTGGCTGCTGGTTTTGTCTCTGGGTCCCTGGTGCTGATGATCACAGGCTTCAGACACCCCTGGAGCTGTGCGAGCCGTCAGTAGCGTGTGTGTGTGCGTGCGTGTGTGTCCATGTGCATGTGTGTGCACGTGTGCAAGTGCGTGCGTGCGTGCGTGTGCGTGTGCGTGCGCGTGTGTGATGCGTGTGCACGCGCGTGTGTGATGCGTGTGCACGTGTCTGTGCGTGTGTGGGTGTGCGTGTGCATGTGTGCGTGCGGGTGTGTGCGTACGTGTGTGCGTGTGTGTGCGCGCGCGTGTGTGTTCTCGTGTGCACGTGTGTGTGTGTGTGTTTTCAGGGTCAGGAATAGGTTAACTGGATGAGATTCCATCCTCTGTGAACTCCCTGTGATTTTTGTGCAGTCACTATGTTGCCCAAACTGGCCCACTTCCCTTCACTGTTGTTGCTCCAGAGGGGCAGGAGGATTAATGTCCACGCTCGGATACAAAGTTTTCACACCCCACTGTCACTGAACTCCTGCCTGTAGGGAACATTGGCTATGATAAAGAAAACTAGGTAAAGCACTGAAAGGGCAGTGCTCAGAAAGAGAAAGAAATGCGAGCAGCCCTGGGGCTATTTCCTTCCTGGAGGTTAGAAAACTCTCTGAGTGAGTGTGTTGATCAGAGGTCGACTAAGCTGCCTCATGACAATCGAATTCTGAATTTACTGCAGAGACAATAACCCCATCACACAAGTACAAGGGCATGTCGGTGAAAACCATGTTTTAAACTGTCAAGCTTTGTAAATAATAAAGCAAATTCAGATACTGCAACTAGCAAAAAGAAATCTGAAAATGGTAGAAAAACAAGTTTTACAGTGTATTCTCTGACGGTGATGGTATTGAAAAGAAGCGGCATCTCCCATACTACACCTAGCAGCCTTTTTCCTCCTGTATGTAATTACATTTCAGGAGATAGCACTAGACCGATTCTATCCCGCTAGGTAGCAGGTTCAATTGTTATAAAAATAGTATGTAAGAGTTCTGAAAGTGTGCACAGAGGAATGAGAGATCAGTTAAAAAATTATTTTCATTTAAAAATAGTTCACACCCGTGTCAAGAGTTTATTTAAATACATTTAATTACATCATCTTTAAAGCATTTTTGTCCAGCAAGCAAAGCGATGTGATCACAAGTGATTTTTTGTTCTAAACAAAGTGATTTCCTGTTAGCACCGCGCAGAACTGTGTAGGCCCAGTGACCCTGGTTGGTGTCCGGATGATTTGATTAAAAGGGTGGCAAGGGGGAAGGATGAAGAGGGAAGGCCAGATGCTTTGGGATGTTTCCCTCTTTTTTTTTTTTTTTTTGCTATATTGAATGTTTTGAGATAAGTATAATGCTTTAAAAGCAGAAAAGAAAATGTCTTGGCTGGGTGCAGTGGCTCATGTCTGTAATCCCAGCACTTTGGGAGGCCGAGGAGGGCAGATCGCCTGAGGTCAGGAGTTCGAGACCAGCCTGACTAACATGGTGAAACCCCATCTCTACCAAAAATACAAAAATTAGCCAGGTGTGATGGTGGGTGCCTGTAATCCCAGCTACCCAGGATGCTGAGGCAGGAGAGTCGCTTGAACCCGGGAGGCGGAGGTTGCAGTGAGCAGAGATAGAGCCAATGCACTCCAGCCTGGGCAACAAAGTGAGACTCTGTCTGGAGAAGGGAAGGGAAGGGGAGGGGAGGGGAGGTCCTTACACACAATACCAATTACACCAGAGTGAACTACATTCCCTGCAGCAGTTAATATTGGCTCAGTGCACCCGCCACTTTCCTGTGCCCTGAGAACACTGGCTTCAGGACCCCACAGGACCCCGGGATTGTGTGTCTGCCTTTGCCTCAACACAAATCAGCACTTCTGGTGACCTCTGTCTTTAGGGTTACCACTGTCTTTTAGATCACAATGGGGTGACCACCATCTTTTGGGTGACCACTGTTAGTTAGTTAACAGTACCTACTCAGACAACTAAAGGAACAGTGAGTGTTGTAATATCTCCTTCCAAATTCCAACCTCCCCCACCAAAATCCAATTCACAATCAAAAAATCATTGTAAGAAACTGGGATTTGGTATGCACCAATTAAGAGTCTATGTTTGTTTCTCAGAAATATTATCTACGTACAAATCATTTTTGGAAGACATTCTAGAATGTTTCATGGAGAAAAGTTTAGATTAGAAAATAGAAATCTGTTTCTCATCCTTAATGTAAACAAGGCTTACATATTTGAGGGATGTTAAAAGATAAATTTAGGCACATGAAAAATTTGACAAGTTTATTTGAGCTGACAGCGATTCATGAATCAGGCAGCAACAAACCACAAGCTTCTAAGAGCTCCATAAGAGGGTGGGAGGGAAAACGTTTACAAGGTGTCTCTGGAAGCAGGACAAAGAAACACGTGATTGGTTAAAGTGGAAAGTCCCCAGCTAGAGGGGTTCCTTAGCAGTTACTGATTGGTAAAGTCTCCACTTGGTGGGGATTTGGCGGTTTCTGATTGATCGAGCTTAAGTTTCCTGTTACTATTTAGACTGAGTTGGGTTTTGCTTGCCTATATAGCAGCCCAGGGCCCTGGAGTGCCTCAGCCCAATGGCCAACCAGTTAATTATTTAACACGGGACGTGGCTCGTGCATAGGAAGAGGTCTTCAGTCCTCAGTTTTATATTCTTATGCCAACCCAATTTTATTTCTTCTTCAGCCTCTCTAGCCTGGGAAATGTTTAATTACCCTCTTTCTCAATCCTAATCTCTTTTTCCCCCTGGCTTCACGGATTCTACCTCCAGGCTCAATTTGGGGTGAGCTAAATTAGGAAGGCTGAATACAAAATTATGTCTGCCATTATTATTCCGTTATCGATATAGACACTATAAAATTTAAGCACAAAATCCTGAAGTACTCTCATAAGTGAAGGCCAGCTATACGCCATGCAAAACAGGGTGACATATTCGTGCAGTGCGTGGAAGGATGTCCCTCTAAAAGATCCCAGATTCTCTACCAGTTCCTCAATGCTTGTCAGATGATCCGGTCACTAATAATGAAAAAAAAGGCACAGAGACTAAGCTATATTCTGAAGGGATTTACTTGGCTATAATTCTTTATGTCACGTAATGATGGGGTGATTTTGATTGGAGTTTAAAAAGAAACATCTGTTTGGGTGAGAAAAGTGCTCAGATAAGCTTAACCATAAAATATGAGGCAGCAGAAATGCCCCTGGGGGACAGGATTAAGCTGTTCTTCAGGATCTATTCGAGCTGTGCCCTTGGGGAGGTCATTCAGTTTATCAATGCCTCAGGTTAGCATCTCAAGAAATTCACGTCTCCGAGTTGTTATAAAGCTAAATAATTTAGCATCTATAAAATCCTATGAGATGAAAGGCACAATAGAAATGCAAATTATTATTTTATTATGAGACACCATTAATAGGACAGAAAGTAAAATGCTCTCTTTGATAGATGTCCAGTTCAGCTGACTGATGGCATTGTGCTTCCGTCTTAGAAATGTATGATACTTAACTGCAACAGATAATTGCCTTCCATCCTGCTTTGTTTCATCTGCTCTCCTTAAGAATTATCTTTGGTGGTTTCTCTTCAGGGGTTACCCCTGTCAGTTCATCCCGACATTCCTCAGCAAATTGAACAAAATCGTTGCCAGAAATCCTCAATGAGAAGCAATGCTTCTTCATTACAGTAATTATGTTTTATGTGGAAGCTTTTTCATAAAAAGGTATCAAAGTTTTTAATTTAAGTTCAAAAGATGATATGTTGCTAGTGGCAATGACATTAGCTAAAGCCTCGTTGTTAAATGGAGAAATTTGTTTTTTAACCTAGAAGAACATTTTCAGTAGGCTTCCCATTGGTAAAATAAAAATGGTGGTCTCACTGTTTAATCTCCAAGATCAGAACCAGGAAATGCAATCCCTCCAGCTAGGAGACAGGCAGCTACCTCTTTTTGATGCAGGAAGCAAGTTGGTTCTGTAGTGGAAACCCTGATTCCCTCTCTCTGGTTGCTTCCTCTGGGCCTCTGGGGACTGGGGGGCTCAGGGGGAGCCAGGCTTTTCATCCAGCTACTGTCACCCCAGCCTTTTGGCTGGCCGAAGTCCACGGCCTCCAGTCAGCCAGTTACCAACATACAGGGTAAGCCGAAGGGCTCTGCCGCCTGAGGAGTGGGGGAAAATAGGCAGGAATGGGGTAACCTTTGAGGCTCATAATTCTCGCATCAATTGTGAATCATCCCATTTTCGTTAACCAAAATCTGGAAGATAGAGTGACAAAGAATCTTTGTGATATTTCCTGTATAAAGTAGTCTAGGCAAGAAATGCTTACTTTAAAAAAATTGGATTTCTGGGTTATTTTTTATTTATTTGGACAGTAAGCAAAATGTTTAGATTCAGGACTATTTGGGGGGTGGCCCCATATATAAAAGAATCCTAGAGGGGAAAAAAGATGAAGATGATTGAGAAAAGCAAACTGAATAATACAAATGCTATGGCATTCTGTAAATCGGTGCTATTTTAAATATCTACCTGTTTCTAGTCTTGGGAGTCAGCATGCTTGAAGAAATGCAACCTTGGCTTCCAGTCTGCACTCGGTCACTCGCCAGGTTAGGAAGTTGTCAAGGGAGGAGCTCTCTAAGCCTCGGCTTCCTCATTGCATCGTTCAAAGAAAAACTTCAGACAAATTAAGTATAACAGAGTTTAATAGAGAAAAGAATGGGTCACACATCAGGCAGCTCCCCAGAACCAGAATAGGTTCTGAGGTGTGACTCTGGGGCTGCTACGGGTTAGGACAGAAAAGTGGCAATAGCGGGAATGGAAATGGAAGTGACAGCCAGAAACAGTGGGATTGGCTCCGGCTCCGTGTTTGCCTTTTTTTTTTTTTTTTCGTCTTGAGATGGAGTCTCGCCCTTTCACCCAGGCTGGAGTGCAATGATGCGATCTCAGCTCACTGCAACCTCCGCCTCCTGAGTTCAAGCGATTCTCCTACCTCAGCCTCCTGAGAGGCTGGGATTACAGGCGCCCGCCACCACGTCTGGCTAATTGTTGTATTTTTAGTAGAGACAGGGTTTCGTCATTTTGGCCAGGCTGGTCTCTAACTCCTGACCTCAGGTGATCCGCCCACCTCCGCATCCCAAAATGCTGGGATTACATGTGTGAGCCACCACGCCTAGCCTAGTGTTTGCCTTTTTCAGCAGTTTGAACAGTGGCCGCTGTGAGCAGTTGAGAGACGGCTGCTGGGATTGGCTGGGGCTTGGCTACGTGTTCCAGGAGCAGGTGGCGTCCTGTGGACACATCCAGGTAAGTCACACTTCATTGTGTATGAAGCAACCTTTAGGCCGAACCTAAAACGTGTAAGGAGGCAGCTTTAGGCTAAAGTGAACAGCACGATCTGTACATGCACGGCACACATGTAACATGCACAGAATGGTGGCCGGGACCAAGTGAGATTTAATCAACGCTGCTTCCCTCCCCCACTTTTCTCAGCACACAGAGAAGGAAGCACTCAGGACGTTGTTGAATACGTTGTGAATTGTTTTAATGAGGGAGCTTGGAAATGGAAGGCTTTACAAGTTACCTCAGGCCATGTCAGTCTGAAGCCGCTGAGTACATTCGTTTTAGGCATTTCTGAAGGTGGCGGTTTATGATGCTCTGAGGAAAAGTTATTAAAGTAATAGCCACGTATAGTACTTCCTTAGGAAAGTTAGTTCTTGAACTAACGCCATTTGTCGTATGGTAACGAAAGAGAGAGTGCCAAGAAATTCAAGTCCTGATCTTTGCTTATTGTTTATAATATTAAAAATATATTTTATCTCAATACTTTATACCTGTAGTATACAAATATACTTAAAAACACCTTATATTTGTATCTTTTTATATTTTCAAAGTACTTTGGTGCATATTACTTTATTTCACCCTAACAACACCATCGTGGTTTGGAAAGGGGAGTTTTTTTCTTCCCATGTTTGGGATGAAGAAACTTAGACTCAGGGAAGTAAACTGATGTTTAACAACCAACCAAAAAGTGGAGGCGGAGTGGAACCAAGGCCTGAGCAGGCTCACTCTGCGGCCAGCATCCTTTTCATTCCAGCACTGACTCCTGGTTTAGAAAACTAGCACAGTGAGGAAGATCCTTCTTATTCATGGCAATTTGCTCACTTCCAATGTGACTACTATTCTAAACAGAATTTAGAATAAAGTGAATATCTATGGGTCTCATGCAGTGATTATGTGTGTGTGCTCACAGATATGGATGTATGGATGTGTGTATTTATCTCCTGCTTTTTTCTGAAAATGTTTTGAAATAACTGATTTCAAAATTACAAATGCAGACAACAAAGCTGTTGAGATGAATTGATGTAGGACGTAACCTTGATTCTTGTTTAAAACAGATTAAAATATTAGAAAGGGGGCTGAGCTAGCTGCTCTGTAATTCAAGGATGATGGGATGTTTCTGTTTTAAGTTCGAGACGGTGCTTCTGCCTGTAAGAGCCTGTAATTTGAGACACAAAAACAAATGATGGGTTATGATAATGCATGTGGTTTTATAGACCATTCTATGACACTAGATGACAGTTGAATTTCTGAATTGTTTGTGCTTTGGATTCTATTGCTGGGGTGCAGGAAATGCTATCCCAAAATAGGACATCTTGGGAAATGAGAAAACTGCAGAAGCCAGAAGGTTCCTCTCTGGCCTTTTTCTACCTTTCTCCCCTGTGAGCTGGCCAGAAAAGAGTTTTCTGACCTACTTTCCCTGAAAATAAGACTGTCATTCCAGATATCAGCCCCTCGTATGCCTCTGAAACCTGGAGAGGAGCTGCACACAGACAGGCCAGGAAGGTTCTGAGCCGAGAGGCCTTGTTCATTTCCCGAGCGTATCACCTTCAGATCACACCCTTTTCCTCCAATCACACTTCAGCACGACTCCCATAAAAATACAGTTTTCTCTGTGTCTTTGGGTCTTCATTTCTGAAGGTTCTCATGTAAAATAAAACTTCTATTAAATAAATTCATTATGCTTTTCTTTTGTTAATCCCTATTTTGTTATAGGATCTCAGTCATGAACCCAGGGGTGGGTGAGGAAAGCATATTACTTATTTTTCCCCTCAACTATCATATATGACCAATTTGTCAAGCACATGCTAAAGGTTTTGCACACATCGCACCATTTATTTGCATGTTTACTGGCACACTATGAAGTGGCGTTATAATTACTGTTCTACGATAA
This sequence comes from Homo sapiens, assembly GCF_000001405.40. NCBI lineage: Eukaryota > Metazoa > Chordata > Mammalia > Primates > Hominidae > Homo > Homo sapiens. Next base: position 3,406,596 of record NC_000010.11, read on the forward strand.
AGATACGGAGGCTTAGCAGAATCAGTGCGCCCAGGGTGAGAAAGCCCGTGGCCGAGGGAGCTGGAATTCTTGTCTGGATCTCTGGGACTCCTCTTCCCTCCCGAGGACACTTTCTTCATTGTCAGCTGGAACACAGGGCCTTGCATTGTGAGGCTGGCCCAGCACCAGCTGCGTGAAAATCAAAGCTGCCGTGGCACTTCAACAACCGGAAGTTACCACCATGTGATCAGCTGGTTTCCAGGCACCAGCGGTTCCAAAGATGGACAGAAATAATAAATGTTCATTCTGCGAGGTGCTGACGGCGTGGCTTTTGCAGGGTTTGCACCAGGGATGTGCGTTATGGGAGACCCGATCTCTTGTGTCCTTAGGGATTTCACTGCACGGGAGAACCACAGGGTTTGAGCTGGAGTCCTCCTGGCACCCAAGGATGGAGTCGGTTCACTGCAGTCAGCAGAAGTAGTTTCCCTGGCACCCAAGGATGGAGTCGGTTCACTGCAGTCAGCAGAAGTAGTTTCCCTGGCACCCGTTCCTCCAGAGAACACCTGCTCAGATACAGGTAACCCTGCACCTGTGTATGGATCATCGGACACCTGCTCAGATCCAGATCCAGATCCAACCCAAGCACCTGTGCAGGGATCATCGGCGAGACTTACAGAGCTCCCAGGGATAGAAAGGATTTCCATCTGTGACTCCACAGAGGAGGCATCTGATGGGCGTGGGCTGTCGTCAGAATGCGCCTGGCCTCACAGAACCTGGCGGGAGCAGTGCGGGGAATGGCCATCTCTGTTCTGAGCACACTGGCCTTCCTGAGGACAAGCCGGCTGCCCTCCCAGGCTGACCTGTGAGTGGACGACATTGCACACGCCCTCCTCGCTGGGGTGGAAAAGGAAGCTGTCAGAATGAGCAGTGCGACTCACCAGCTGGGGTACCTCCAAGTAAAGAGGCCTTCCTTCCAGAACCACTGTAAGCCAGCATTGCTGTTTTACATAGAAGAAGAAAGGTTATAGTTTTCATAAGGAAATCTCAATGTGAATGCCAGCAATATAAAGATAATGCATGTCCACCTGCTTTAAGATGAATTGTGGTTGCTTTTCATATTTCTCACTGAGGAATGATCAGGCATTTATCTAGTAAATGCTTAGAAGGTGCTTCTCACCTTGACCTGGACTCTGATTTCCCCATGGTTGTGCTTTCGTTGATGGTGTAAATCTGCACCTGCACCAGCACCAGCAATTCCGAGACTCCTGTAAGAAATCAGGGAGGATCCCTGGTTCTTGGCATAGGAGCAGGTGTGTGGTCAGGGGGATGACAGACCCCACAGAGTGTGGTCCACTGAGCAGCTCTTGGGGAGGATGAAGATGGGAACAAACAAACAAAAGCAGGTGTGAGAGCTCTGAGCAAGGGAGCAGGTCATTCACACTTCCTGGGCCCCTGGGTTGGTTTCTTTCCTGCAATAAGGAGTGTGATATTTCTTCTCGGGGGATCCTGAGTTTGAAAATGTCTTGTGAATGGTAATGTCTGGGACAAATATCCTGTCCTGGAGCAGGAGGAGGTAAGAGGGGGACAGACTGCGACCATCATCAACCATCTGCTGCTGGTGGACCCTCAGGAGCAGAGGATGCAGGGGTGTGGGGGCCTGGCTGGGGAGCCTGGGCCTTGCAGTGGGTCCTGTGGGGTCCCCAAGTCCCCTTGGCTCTCCCTGGGCCTTGCAGGGGGTCCTGTGGGGTTCCCGAGGCCCCTCAACTCTCCCTGGGTCTTGCAGGGGGTTCTGTGGGTTCCCCGAGGCCCCTCAACTCTCCCTGGGCCTTGCAGGGGGTCCTGTGGGGTCCCTGAGGCCCCTTGACTCTCCCTAAGGTTTCTTGGGCATCTATTGGTAGTACTTTACCCCAAAACCCCCATCACAGGCTGGGACGCTCTCCCCAGCAGAAGAAACAGGGGATTGGGTTCAGGCCCCCTTAATCTCCCCACCTACAGCCAAGCCCTGAGCTTCTCAGAGGTCATACCCACATTTCAGATGGTGACAAGATAATCACTGTGATGAGGTCACTCCCAGCCACATGGAGGAAGAGGAGGAAGAGGAGGAGGAGGAGAAGGAGGAGAAGGAGGAGGAGGAGGATGAGGAGGAGGAGGAGGGAGGAGGAAGAAAGAAGAGGAGAGAGGAGGAGGAAAGAGGAGGAGGAGGGAGGAGGAGGGAGGTGGAGGGAGGAGGAGGAGGAGAAGGAAGATGAGGAGGAGGAGGAGGAAGAGAAGGAGGAGGATGAGGAGGAGGAGGAGGGAGGAGGAAGAAAGAGGAGGAGAGAGGAGGAGGAAAGAGGAGGAGGGAGGAGGAGGAGGGAGGAGGAAGAAAGGAGAGAGGAGGAAGAAAGAGGAGGAGGAGGGAGGTGGAGGGAGGAGGAGGAGGAGAAGGAAGATGAGGAGGAGGAGGAGGAGGAAGAGAAGGAGGAGGAGGAGGAGGCAAGTTTGCTCTCAGAGTTCAGGCTGGGAATCATTATGAACATGTTGTGTTAGCCGACCTCCCAGGTGAAATCTAAGTGAATGGTTAACCTCACTTCCTCATTTTTGGGCTTGTGCATTTGAGGGAGCACAGCCCGAGTGGAAGCTCCCAGACACAGGCTGAGCTTGTTCTATCAGCCTGATATCAATCGGCCCCTCAGCATTGCAAAGGCCGGTGGTGCCGGGAGCTGGCAGCCCTGGCATCGTGTATTCCAGGCTAGAGATTTAATTCTGAGGCCTGCCCTTACTGTCTGTGACCTTGGCTTCCAGTGAACCCTCTGTTCCTTCTTGTAGATGGAGAGAAGGCCCAGTGAGGCGTGCAGGACTGGAGTTCAGTGCCGTGCTGGGTCGCTGCATTGCCGGAGCTTCATGCTACCTGTCTCTTCCCCAGCCTGAGCTCTTTCTTTAAATAAAGCAAAATAGTTGAATCCCAAATGAGGCAAAAAAAAAAGCTGGACTGCAATAATAGACAAAAGGTCCTTCCAAGACACCATTAACTGATGCTGCTACCAAAACCTAAGGGAAGAGGACCTGTTCAGTTGTTTCTCACTGTTGCTGACGTTGCTAGAAAACCTGGCAGCCTCTTGGTCTTGGTCTGCCCTGCAAGAGTGTGGGGTGCTGGTTCTGCCATGTGCAAGCTACGCTTGGCAACTTACAAAACCAGCCCAAGCTTAAGCCTCTTCATTTGTCTTTAGTGACTGTGACAAGGAGATGAAACCACACACATACACACACCCCTGTGCACACCTGTGCACACACAGACACACATTTGTGCACAACACAGGCACACACAGAGCACAGGGCCTGCTGCAGAGTGGAGCAAACAGAAGCTCCTGTTATTTTTACTGGTGTCGGGCATCTCCCTTCTGGGCATCTTTGGAGGAAGGAGTTCTTCCTCCTCCTCCTCTTGCTCTGCTCTAAATCCTGGGGCTGACCCTGCAGGCTGTGCTTCCTAGGCTATTGGGTCCTGGACAGGGATCAGCGCATGAGAGCAGTGCTGTAGGGCTGGCTGGTCCGCAGGAGGCAGGCAGGCCCCCTCCACCTCTGCTTCAGGTTGTCTCTGGCTGTGGCCCCATCTGCTCTGTGGCCCCAGCTTCCCTGGTGGGTCCCTGGTCCTCAGCCTCAGGGGCGCCACTTCTTGCCTTTGGAGCTGTCTTGTTAGATGTTATGTTAGTCACTAAGGTAAGGAAGGCCAAGTGGATGTCCCCTGCTGTGGTCTGAGTGTTCCTGCTTTCACAAGACTCATCTGTTGAAACCAAGCCCTCCAGGTGATGGAGTTAGGAGGTAGGGTCTCTGGGAGATGATTAGGTCATGGGGCACAGCCCTCATGATAAATTAGTGCCCTTAGAAAAGAGGCCTCAGGCCGGGCACCGTGGCTCACGCCTGTAATCCCAGCACTTTAGGAGGCTGAGATGGGCAGATCACAAGGTCAGGAGATCGAGACCATCCTGGCTAACACGGCGAAACCCTGTCTCTACTAAAAATACAAAAAATTAGCTGGGTGTGGTGGTGGGCACCTGTAGTCCCAGCTACTCGGGAGGCTGAGTCAGGAGAATGGTATGAACCCAGGAGGTGGAGCTTGCAGTGAGCTGAGATCGCACCACTGCACTCCAGCCTGGGTGACAGAGTGAGACTCCATCTCAAAGAAAAGAAAAGAAAAGAGGCCTCACCTCCTTCCACCATGCAAGGACACAGTGTGAAGGCACCATTTATGAACCAGGAGGTGGATCCTCACCAGACACCAAATCTGCTGGCACCTCCATGTCCATAAAGTCATCTTGGTCAATGTGGGTAAGTCACACCTACTCTGAGCCCTCAGAAAATGATGTGGACACCAGATTCCAGCCAGAGAAGGAATACTGTCCTTGACAGAGGTCAACCTGTCTTAGACTTCCATCTTGATCTTGGACTTCCCAGCCTCTAGAACTGTGAAAAACAAATTTCTATTGTTTATAAGACATGCAATCTATGGGATTTTGTTATAGCCACCTGAACAGACTAAGACATTCCCCTTCTAGTCACCACAGTAAATCAGAAGCAAGAATGCACTTGGAGTGCAACAGGAGAGAGCTCAACAGGAGAGATCACTAAGGGAGAGATCACAATGGGAGAGATCACAACAGGAGAGATCACTACAGGAGAGATCACAACGGGAGAGATCACAACAGGAGAGATCACAACAGGAGAGATCACTGTGGGAGAGATCACTATGGGAGAGATCACTATGGGAGAGATCACAATGGGAGAGATCACAACAGGAGAGATCACAACCGAGGAGAGATCACAACAGGAGAGATGAGATCACTACAGGGAAGATCACTACTGCCTTGAAAGACTTAAGCAGACGAGGAGGGGGGTTCCCATAGCACCCTCAATGTAGTCACTGGCCCAGCCCCTCTCAGAACCAGGTGGATGACTGCAGATAACAGTGGCTGCTGCAAATTCAACCAAGTGATCGTTTCAATCATAGTTGCCTAGTGTGGCCTCTTTACTGAAAGAGTTTCTGGCATTTGTACGCAAGACAAAAATGCACTGCCATCAACCTCAGTTCCATTCAATATGTCAGGGAACCCCAGAAAGACGGCATCCAGAGAAGCATCTTGCACAGTGGCTATGCTTCCCCCTGGACACTCAGTCATCAGCTCTGTGGCTGGAGGCAAAGACATGTTTGGACTCCCAGAGCCTGGTGAAGGCTCAGCTATGTGGTCTGGGAAGAGGAGAGAGAAGGGCTGCGTCCTCCCAGGTTGACGCCTGTTGAGGACTGCGTTTCTTCTCTGGCTCAAATCTGGTGCACATCATTTTCTGAGGGCCCACACTGTGTGATTTACCCACATGGCCTAGGACCACTTTATGGAGATGGAGATGCGACAAGGGGCCCACACCAGTCACCTGCCAGCCTCCCTTTGTCTTGGTGGCACAGAAGCCGTCGGCTGGATGCACCCTGGAATGTCAGGAGGAGAGGAGGGAGGTGGGTGAATGCTATTTATTGCATGCTACCCTCGGACCAACGGCTGCAGCAGCCACTGTCCCCTGCCCCCCTCACTCTCCTGCTGTCTTTTACTGGGTTTGGTGATTACCAGAGGCCACCTCCTTGAAGGGTCAGCAACATGGCAGAGCCAACTGAGGTGGGTGTGGATGGATTTGGGCAGCTACACACCCACCGTGGGCTGCACCACTGCACCCTGGTCCGTCCAAGGACCACACACAACTCTGTCTGTGCTTGGACTTTTTGCTCATCAAGCACAGGCAGCCCTCAACCAAGGAGAGGCAGGCACAGGTGAGAAAAACCTCCCTGATCCTGGCCAGTCAGTGGGACTGTCCTGAAGCGCTTGCCCAAACCATCTGCTAGAGGGGCCCAGCTCATTAACCCTAACTGGCTTCCCTGCTGCCTGCCTCTCTGCTCCCTTTTCTCAGGTGGGGACAACCTGCCTCTCTGCTCCCTTTTCTCAGGTGGGGACAACCTGCCTCTCTGCTCCCTTTTCTCAGGTGGGGACAACCTGCCTCTCTGCTCCCTTTTCTCAGGTGGGGACAAGGACAGTGGGTTTTTCCCTGCACGGTCTCACTTTCCCACTCACAATTCACACACATGACTCCACACATTAGAGTCCCCAGCCCCGTGGGGCCCAGCTGGGGGAATTCTGCTGGTCCCACCCCTGGTGATTCCTGTCTGCCGAGGTGGTGTGGCTGCCGTGGGGGTGACCGCTGAGAGCCCCCCGTGAGAGCAGCTTCTGACAGGACAGAGTTCAGCCGCCCCACCCTTGAGATCTGATGCGTCTTCCATTCCTGGGCCCACTCTGCCACCCACATCCTGACCAGGGCCGCATGTCACGGACGTGGATGGCCGGCCTCTGCCCCCAGCCTGGGGTCCCCTAACGGGCAGTCTCTCCTCCGGAGCTCCCCATCAGCTGGGCTGTGGGGCCTCCGTCCGTCCTCGGCTTTTCCTGCCATCTCTCTGCTTCCTTTTCTCCATCTACAGGTGTCTGGCCTGCACCGTGGCCTGAAGCCCTCTAGCCTCTGGCTTCACCTCACCTTTACCCACAACGGGTACGTCCCAACCAATCTCCTGCAAGTCCGATTCCATCTCAGCGTCTGATTCCTGGAGGACCCCACAGACACTGTGTGTTTCCGAGCCTTCTTAACACCTCATTGAAAGATTTACAAATAAGGGTTGTAGGGCCAGTCACGGTGGCTCACGCCCATAATCCCAACACTTTGGGAGGCCGAGGCGGGAGCATCACTTGAGGCCAGGAGTCCAAGACCAACTTTGGAAGCATAGTGGGTCCCCCATCTCTACAAAAAATACCAAAATTAGCCAGGTGTGGTGGTGCATGCCTGTAGTCCCAGCTATGTGGGAGGCTGAGGTGAGAGGATTGCTTGAGCCCAGGGGTTGAAGGTTACCATGAGCTCTCATTGCGCCACTGCACTCCAGCCTGGGTGACAGAGTGAGACCCTGTCTCAAAAAGAAATAAACGAATAAATCAATAAGGTTTGTGCTCAGTGCACAGATCCACCAGACTTTAGTGTGCTGGACCTACTGAGGGTCTCGGGGTGGACCTGAAGGCATCAATCAGAAAGGCCCCCAGCTGCTCCATGCCAGGCCCATAAGGAAGAAACAGAGGCTGGGGCGGTCGCTCACGCCTGTAATCCCAGCACTTTGGCAGGCCGAGGTGGGTGGATCACCTGAGGTCATGAGTTCGAGACCAGCCTGACTAACATGGAGAAACCCCACCACTACTAAAAACACAAAATTAGCCGGGCATGAGGTGCATGCCTGTAATCCCAGCTACTTGGGAGGCTGAGGCAGGAGAATGGCTTGAACCTGGGAGGCAGAGGTTGAGGTGAGCCGATGTCACGCCATTGCACTCCAGCTAGGGCAACAAGAGCAAGACTCCGTCTCAAAACAACAGCAACGACAACAACAACAACGACAACAAAAAACAGAGGTCAGGATCTGTTCCGGGTAAGGCTCAGGAAGGAGAGACTGGCAGCGCATGGGTGAGAGCGTCTCCTCCAGTCGGGTGCCTGCAATGTGAGCACTCGTGAAACAGGGGCTCTGGGAGGAATGTGTGAGGGTGGGCACCGCGTCAGGGGCTTGGTGTCATGGGCTGAGGTGGGTTGGCCAAGACTCATGCGCTGAAATCCTAACTCTCATGCCCCAGGATGTGGCCGGACTTGGAGACAGGGTCACTACAAAAGCAACTGAGTTGAAATGAAGCCGTTGGAGTGGCCCTAATTTGATCTGACTGGCATCCTATGAGAAGAGGAGGTTAAGGCATAGAGAGGCACGCAAAGGGACAACTGACTGAGGACATAGGGAGAAGACGTCATCCACTAGCCAGGAAGGGAGGCCTCTGGAGGAACCAGCCCTGTGGACAGCTGGATCTCGGACGTCCAGCCCCCGAGAAGGGAGAGGATCATGTCTGTGGCTTAAGCCACCCATCTGCGGCATTTGTTATGAAGCCTCGAGCAGACTGAGACCCTAGAGTTGGGCGTGAAGGCTGAGTGGGTGATTTCCACTTAAATGGCAGGGCTAGATTTGGAATTCCAGCTTCCCAAGGCCCCAGACGGACAGGCAACATCTCTGTTTCTCCTTCCTTTTCTTCCCAGCATGGAGACCCCAGTGGCATTGTTGTTAAAACCTGCTTTCTGAAAACTGCCTTTGTGGCCGCAGGAAGCTCACTGCTCCTTTATCTCTCTTATCGAATTCCTGATGCTGTTTCCATGAAAGAAGTCGCGACGGAGCAGCCAGCTGGCCAAGGTCAAATCATCCCTCCATGCGATTCCTCCCTTCTTCTGAACAGGCTCTTCCTGCGGCCCGTGTCAGCCGAGGCAGAGAGCGACAGAGCTTTTCACACCAGGAGAGCATGTCCTCTGTCCTCTGTGCCTGTCTGAGAAAAGAAAAATTTAGATCACTCCATGTGTTTGAGGATTAGTCATTAGAATCATCTGGTGAGATAAGCACCTGAGTTTAATTGTGAGTTAGAAAAAGAAAGTGATTTAAGCATCACGTAACAAAGGTGGTGTGATATGAACTGCAAATGGGGTTTCAGATACACCTTCCCAGGAGCATGTCTGATACGGGCGGGGCGGAGTGGGCCAGAGGCTCCCGGCTGTGTCTCTAATAGCACAGAACCCAGGAGCTGGCAGGGACGAGTGTGCCCGGACCCAGCCGGGCCATCCTGCTGGACTGCTGTGCGAAGGACAGGAAGCCAGTGTGGCTGTCACGACCCTTGTCCTTTTTGCCCTGGGCTGGGAGCACCGAATGGACTCACACTCCACAATGGGATTCCACAATGAGAGGATGGAATTAGATCAGTGGGTTTCAAACACTAGCATTCCAAGGAGTGTCAGGTGCCTGGATAGAGTCTGGGGAGAGCAGGGGCTGTCAGGAGAACAGGCACAGCCTCGCGTCAACAAGCCCCTGTAACAAAGCACCATAGACGGGCGGCGTAAACAGCGGGTGTTGGTTGTCTCAAGGTCCTCAAGGCTGGGAGTTGGCATCAAGCTGTTCATAGGGCCGGTTTCTCCTGCGGCTTCTCCCTGTGGCTTGCGGATGGTGTCCTCTCCCCCAGCCCTCAGGGCCATCCCTCGTTCTGTGTCTGTGTCCTAATTTCCTATTCTTGGACTCCAGGAAGGTTGGATTAGGGCCCACCCTGTCGGCCTCCTTTGACCTTAATTACCTCTTTAGGTGCAGTCACATTCTGGGGAACCAAGGGTCCAGGCTGCAACAGATGAATTTGGAAGCAACGATCAGCCCCCTACAGCCCTTCTCCTTCTCTTGACTTTTACAATGGCTTTCTGTGTTTATCTGCTTTTACACATTGGCGTTTGGGGTAAAATCACATTTGAAAAAGTGGTTTGATTCATCACGAAGGTCTGGAAAACCCCGAGATGGACGGAGGCTCCACCTCTCTATGGGCTCTCGCTTGGAGCTTCCCCTTGAGGATCCATGGGGGATGGGGGCCGGCATCTCCAGGGCCCACGCTGAGGCCATGGCTCGATGGAGGTGGCTTCTTAGTGGGGCTGAGGCCCCCGGGGTGCATTGCTCTGAGAAATGCCGGGCATCAGCAAACCCGGTCCCTCCTGGCTGGCCAGAGCAAAAGGCTTCTCTTTTTCTCCTTTAACCAGAGAAGAAGGTTCCATTCCATGTGGCGCTGTGGCTCTTGGTGGCTGTTACAAAGCCATTTCCTATCTTCTGAAGTCTAAGTAAGGAAGAGCAGGGGTTTAAGAAGACCTGAGTCTACAGCCAAGCTTGTCCCGGTTTGCTGGGTGGTGGAGGCCCATGTGGGCTGTGCTTCTGGCATGTTCTCCCAAGCCACAGTGGGAACAGGACCTGGCCGTGGGAGTTGGGAGCCATGGAGGACATGTTCCACTGGTCTAGAAGCCGAATCGAGTGCTGTGACATTGTATCCTGACCCACAGCAAAAGGAGTTGGCTCAAATAAGAATATTGATACCGTCTCCTAAATCTTCCCATTTCAATAGCTTAAGTTGGGCTGGTTGGGGTTGGATTGGTCAGTTCCTGATGCAGAGCAAATGACAGACCTTTCAAGACTGTTTTCTGATTCTGCCAAGTGACCGTAAGAGAGGGCAGAGGAAACAGGTGAGAATCCCTTTTACGATTGTAATCAACCCCCTCCTAAAGACAGGTCTGCTTTTCCGAGAAATACATTATCCTCTGGAACATCCAAGGATATTTTCTCAGTAAGAAAGAGAAATGGGGCCGGAGTGAATCCAAAGAAGGTGGGAAAAGCAATACCAAGATTCAGTCCTTACGACTTTGGGAATATTGCAAAATTAAACAGAACGTGACTCCCCAGGGCTGTTGGATACATTTGGCCTCTGACTCCGGTCAGTTCTCCACCTGCTTCCTCTCTCTTTATGGGATGAGGGATAAGGGAAGGGGGTGGGAGGGTGCAGGGCACAGAGGTGGGGGCACAAGCTTTTGGAATGTTATATTATTATATATGAATACAGACAGTAACACCAACTGACTCCAGCAGACAGCTACCTCCAGAATTCCTATTAATAAATATCAGAGACCTATTCAGACGTTCCCGTGTTCTGGCCTAGGACCTTTTGGAGGGTGGACGGCTGATTCCTCGGAACCTACAAACTAAAGAAACAGAAGCTGCCTCAGAACCCAGACTCCAGGCCCTGCAGGGGTAAGGGCTCTACTTTTCCTGCTGTGCAGCTTCCTGAAAGCTGTCGGATGCAGGGAGACTCCAAAATCCCCATCGCGCTGGAGTCCAGCGCTGTAGCGGGAAGCTCTCATGGACCTACCAAGACACTTCTTTTTAACCTCTGTGAACCCTGACACTCATTTCTCAGTGTCTTCTATTAGAATCTTTTTGCTTCATTAGAGTAAGTCATGTTCCTGCAACATACAGATTTCTTAAAAGGGCAGGTGTGTCTTATATGCAAATCCTAACACATACAGGGAATTGGTTAATCACTCAGATAATGTTATTATCATATATTATTATATATTAATATTATATTAATGTTATATATTAATAATTATATTTTTGTATTATCTGAATGATTAATTCCTCATGTGTTAGGATTAGCATATAAGACAAATTAACAGTGACTAGTTAATCTAAATAATTATTTAAATTGTTAATTTATCAGTTAATTATTATATATTACTATTAAGCAATGAATATTTATTATTTATAAATTGTAAATATTTGTAAATTATTTATTAGTATTAACTATAAATTATTGTTTATTATTAAATTATTAATCAAGATAATTACATATTTAATGATATAAATATTTTCTTCATACTTTGTAAAGGAGTAGCTAATCAAATTTCTCTCACAGACTTTAAAAACAGTTGTGAAGAATAAGGTTAAAAGACACGCGTGTACGTGGGGCTGTGAAATAGGTCTCTGATATGTATTAATAGGAACGCTAAATAAGGCAGTCTAGGGAGAAATGGGAGCCCATGCATCAGAAGGGAAAGAGATGGGCTGGAGAGAGATTTCGGAGGTGGAGACAAATGGCTTTGCACTACTGAAGGCAAGGAAAAAAAGAGGGAATTAGGAACGACTCCCGTGTTTATGGTTTGAGCTGGCAGGGCCATGGGGATGGATTTTGTCATGATAAGGCCACTTTTCGCAAGAGTGTTGTTCAGTTCTGTTTCTGGGGATTGGAAAGCCAGAGTGGGGATGTCATGATAAAACTACAATTGCGAGACAAACGCTCTCCTCTTCCCCACCCAGGTGAATATCTAGTTTACATATAACAGGCTTTTTAAAACTTCATCTGTGTCGATTCTGAGGAGCTGAGCAAAGGAATTTCTTCTGAAATCCTGGTTGTTCTCACGGCCTTCACTTCTAATGACGACTATGCAGTCCATTTCAGCAGCTTATGAAGCCGTTGAAAATTCCCCTTGCTTTAATAGGAAAAACCAAGATAAGAGTAAAAAAAACAAGATAAGATTTGATGGATAGTTCAGGCATGAAGGCAACAGGTATTCATTCCATTTAATCTTTTCTCTCTTGTTCCGTAGAACTTAAAAAGCTAATAATTTACTTCCGCAGTCTCTCCTGCAAGAACACCATCCCAGCCAAGCAAAACGTATGGCAGGTCAGGATGACTGGCACATAAATCAGAGTCAAACAGAGTTTCACTTCAACTCAGCAAAAACTGTGGATTTCCTTTCTCTGACTTTTTTCTTTTTTCTTTCTTTTTTTTTTTTTTTTTTTGCACTAAACAGTCTTCTTCAAAATGATGCTCAAAAAACTGGTACTATCATTATTATACTTTGCTTTGTCTATTTTTTGGCATTTTTTCAGGAATGGATCTAAAATTATTTTTGGCCTGAGCCATGCCTTGTTAAGATGCAGATCCTGAGCCGGTGGGTCTGGAGTGAGGCCTGAAGTTTGCATTTGTAAGGAGCTCATGGATGCCGCCCTTGCTGCTGGTCCGCGGGAACATGTTGGGTAGCAATGTCCAGGGGCACCTAGGGGTCCGGGAAGCCCTGCACAGCTGCTCCACTGAGGCAGGGCTGGTTTTGTGCCCCCAGAACCCACGTCAAGGGGTAACTGGATGGGGGCTGCCCTGGCGAGGCTGCTCCTCAATTCTGCACACCACCCAACTGGGCACGGCCAGTAAATTCAATTCAAGTCCATTCAGAGCGCAGCTGAGGCGAGGCCTTGTGTGGTGGAAGGAGAATGGCGTTTGGAGCCATCAGACGTGGGTTTGGGTCCCTGCTCTACCACTTAGAGGCACCAGCACCGTTTGTTCAACTTTACATTTATTATGTGAAATCCACAATATATATCACCTCAACCATATAATTTTCAAAACAGCAAGTGAGATACTATGTTTGCAAAGATTTTGCCAATAATTCTTAGTTGGTTCTCATGACCTTAAGTTGTGATCAAATCCAAAACTCATACTATATTTTGTATAGTTCTATTTTTGTAACATAGCTATTACATAAATGCAAAATGCTGTTGAATGTACGTATATGCGTAGACAGAGGATAGATGATAGATAATTAGACGATAGATAATAGATAACATACAGATGATAGATGAAATAGTTATAGGTTAGGTAGATGATGGCTAAATTGACAATAGATCGTTTAGATCGATAACATATACAGATAATAGATAGATATGGATAGATAATAGATATAGATAATAAAAGATAGATTTGGAATGATAATAGATAGATAATAGATAGATGATAGATAAAGATAAATGGATGATAACTCATCAGGCGTAATTTCCTTATTCCCTTCTACATTTTGGCCTATCCAATTGGGCTGTGGGTGTGGCCCATAGCCACGTTCCTGTGCTGAGTCAGCATTTCTCACTGCGCGAGTTCAGGGGGAGCTGGTGACCTGGGCAGGGCCCCTGAAGGTGAGAGGGTCTCCATGCCGCAGCCCACTCTGCCTACCTCTCCAGCACTCTCTCCTTTTTGCTTGCGCTGCTTATTCTGGCTGAGGAAGGGACAGGAAGGGACAGGAAGGGCTGAGAGGTTAACCACACAAGTGAAGGTTGATGGGAACTCTTGTGGTTGGGTTTCCTGGTAAAAGACCGAGGCAGAGGTTCTGGGGAGGCTCTCGTGGAGGGCAGACAATGCCCACAAGGGGATCCCGACAGCTTCCACGGAGGCTCAGGACTGGAAGGGCCCTTCAGAGCAGCCCTCACTGAAGCAGAGGAGTGGGGCTTGTGCCCCCAGACCCAGTGGTAGCTGGGCAGGGCTCCCCTGCAGGGCCACCCCCAGGCACTGCACGGAGGCACTTGCCATCAGCCTCAGCAGCCCACAGTCCTGGGAGCTGGATGCCAGGACCTTGGTACTGAATGGGCACCACCTTGCATGGCACAGGAGGAGACAAAATCTCCGGGCATTGATGGGCATCATGCTGTGGCTGCTGCAGAAGACATGGCCTCCTCAGAGCGCCACGGCAAGACAGGGGACCCAGCTCCTCGTCACTGTCATCTGGGACTGAGCGATGTGGGTCAGGACTACAGGAGCTTCTCTTGAGTAGGCACTGCTGGTCTCTAGGTACCATGGAATCTTGCTCTTGAATTAGCTCTTAGCAGGCATGAGCCAGGAAGAGGTGTCTCCAGGCAGTCAGTGTGATTGGTGTGATTGGCATGTTCAGTGTGATTGGCATAGCTGGTGTCCATTCTAGGAGAGAAACTCAGGGGAGTCCCAGGGCCACACCCTGTTGTGCAAGGATGGTGTCCTGCAGCACAGCACAGAGCCAGAGGTAGGATGTAGGTGGGGCACAGGTAGGATGCAAGTGGAATCCAGGTGGGACGCAGGTGGGAATGCAGGTGAGATGCAGGTAGGGACGCAGGTGGGATGCAGGTGGGACGCAGGTAGGGTGCAGCTGGGACGCAAGTAGAACTCAGGAGGGATGCAGGTAGGATGCAGGTGGGACGCAGGTATGGTGCGGGTGGGACACAGCAGGGACTCAGGTAGGGTGCAGGTGGGATGCAGGTAGTCGTTGAGACAGGTGTGTGCACTCAGCTGTGTCAATAGCTCTGGACCTCAGTGCTGTGCCTGGAGTACCAGAATATGATGGGTCCCAGAGGGAGGGCTGCGTTCAGATGAAGACTGTGAATGCTTAGTCCCAGGGCTGTGGCCCTGTAAGGACCAGAGATGCCGCCTGGAAAATTCTGTAGTGTCCTGCGCCAGCTGGCCCATGAGGGTGTGAATGTGCAGCCCTACAGGGCGTGCTCCCGGGACAGACGCACTTGTTAACAAATCCACGTGGATGTCGGAGAGACTGAGCCCTGAGCCCGAAGCCCAGCTCTTTCACTGAACTGTTGGGCAGCTTTGTGCCCTTCCTCAGTCTCTCTGAGCCTTAGTTCTCTCCTTGTAGGCAACATATCTGTGCAATAATAATTCCTGCCTTGACGGTCATGGAAAGAGTGAACAAGATCTAGCTCCTAACATCACCCAATTAGGTTCCTTTCCTTCCTTTTCCTTTCTAAGCTTAGGGAGAAAGAGATAGGAAAAGCAAGTGGGAAAAAAATGCTGGCAAAGCAGACAACAGTGTGTGGCACCTGGCGCCCTCACAGAGAGCGTGGCCGTGGCCTGCAGCAGCAGGGAGCCGTATACCTATGCCCAGCTCCCGGAGAGGGGCTAGCCTGGGCCCTGGGCTCTGAGCCCCCGTGGCTAGCATAGCACTTGCACCTCTTGGTATAATCAGGACACCTTGGCATGGAGGGAGGCCACACTGTGCCCCCAACCTCCTCCATCTTGCCACCCCAGCAGACTCCAGGGACTGGGCCTGACTTTGCCCAGAAGTGTGAAAAACCCAGAGGCAGCCTCCTCCTCCCACGTATGATGTCTGCACACAAGGGACCAGGGTCCGGGCTGTGGACGTGGCCACCGCTGTCCCCTGCAGCAGTGGATAAGGGCGGCAGCTACCTGGTGGCCCCTAAGTCGCTCTTAAGCCAACTCTTCAAGCTTCCTCTTGTTCAGCTTCCTGCCCGGAAGCTTGCTGGGCAGTTATTATCCACAACGAAAAGGTGTGAAAAGGAGTAACTTGGTTCTCAGTCCTGCCCCAGATGAGTCAGGTTTTTTTTTTCTTCCTTTAAAATTGAAAGTAAATGGATGGCTTTGGTGTTATAAGGGCCATTCTTATCTGATTGTTGCATTAATATGATCCTCAAAATCGACCGAAGGAGGATTAGGATAAATATTTTGTATTAAAAAAGGCACTAACTTCAGTTGAGATAGGGTTTTAAGTTTTAGAGCAGAGGGAAGAGAAAAATGGCAATACAAAAATGAAAATGTAAATAAAGATTTTCATCCCAGCGAGACTGGAATACGCAGGTCTTGCCCTTGGAAGGGGTTGAGCTGTGTACTGTCTCAGCGGAGCGGTGTGCAGATCCCCCATCCCTGGCCGCTGTCAAGGAGTGTTGTGGGTGGATGCTCTACTCTTGTGGGGACCAGCTTCCTGCGTTTGCCTTCCTTGCTGTCAGTGTGGCCTCATGTCCCTGAAGAAGCAGGGCTCCCAGGGCCCCCCAGCCAGCGTAAATGTTAGCACTGTTGGCAGGGATGATAGCCACTGGTTTTCAATCGTACCTTTACACACACTCCAGATCCTTTTGAGTCTTATTTTAACTATATCCCCTAGATAAAGGGACTCTCCTAAGAAATATGATGTCCTAGTTTCACTACCAACCCCACAGTCTTTGGGTTTTTGTTGTTTGTTTGTTTTTGAGACAGAGTATTGCTCTGTTGCCCAGGCTGGAGTGCAGTGGGGCACTTGGCTCACTGCAACCTCTGCCTCCCGGGTTCAAGCAATTCTCCTGCCTCAGCCTCCCAAGTAGCAGGGATTACAGGCACGTGCCACTACACCTGGCTAATTTTGTATTTTTAGTAGACAAGGGGTTTCACCATATTGGCCAGGCTGGTCTCAAACTCCTGACCTTGTGATCCTCCCGCCTCGGCCTCCCAAAGTGCTGGGATTACAGGCGTGAGCCACCACGCCCAGCCTGTTTGTTTTAATATTTACTGAAGGTCACAGTCACATTTTATAACTTATTATATCTGAATTTAGAGTGATTATACGCTGTGGATCTCAGGGCCTAATGTTAATTCATACTTCGGGGAAATGAAGAGTATGATAAATTCAGGCCAATGCCGGCACCTCCCTGCTTTTCTGCATGGTTTGAGAATTGACCCAGCAGTTCAGTCCAGTTTTGTGTAAGGAAAGCTCACAGTGGCCGGGTGAGGAAGCCAGGGGCTGAATACTGAAGCCACACAAAGCGTGGACTCAGCCCCTCCGCGGGAGACAAAAAAGATGGATGTGGACGATGAGAGATGCCCTTGACATCGTTCTGTGAGTAGTTAGCGCTTTAGGGGCAGCAAAGCCCTCAGCTCTGCAGAGCTGCAGAGCTGCAGAGGGGAGGCGGATCCCAGCGATTCTGAGAAAGCCTGGCTTCAGGAGGAAGTGTGAGAGAGCAGAGACTTGAGTGGACCAGGGAGTGCAGAGGATGGGAAAGGAGGCGGCTCCAGGGGAAGCACGGGACCAGGTGGTGCATGCGGGGCGAAGGGAGGGTAGTGTCCCATGTGTCCGTGTCCTGGCCAGGCGTGGCTCACTGTGTACCGTGACCTCAGTGCCGGCGGTGGCTCACTCTGTGTGTCAGCTTTGTGTGTATCTTCCTTTTTGAGCTACTATTGAGCCTGGATCCTCCAGCCCCTTTGCATTCTTGGTCCGGGCCCTGACTGCCAAGCTGCTGTTCCTGTTCTAATATGTGCTTGGTTTTCCTGATGAAACTCCCCATCCCAAGCAGACACGCATGGGAAACCAGCCCTGCTCAGGGCTCATGGCCCTGAAGACGGCCGTGAAGACGATGTATTACAACCCTGGGCCCCATCACAAATTAGATGAGCTACCTTAAGGGTCCTTTATCCGCTGTGGCCTCTGTGCTCTGAGGTAAAAATAGCAGAGTTTGATTGAGGGCTACTCGAGATGGCTTAGCTCCGGAGAGTGATGAATGCTTCATTGTTGCCCCCAAATGGGCAATTTTCTCTGACTTCAAACAAAATGTAGGAAGGTAAAGGTAAGTTAGCAGACAAAGGAAGCACCTCCAAAAGCTGCCCTAAGACACAGAAGCCCGGTGCTGGACCCGCAGGCTTTCTGGGACAGTAGGACCCTGAGGGCTCTGAAACCTAGTGGCCTCATGGTTCTGCAGGGGCCCGTGCTCCACCTGCGCCATCCCTTCCCCGCTCCGCCTGCTATCCCTTCCCCCTACACTCCTATCTATCACCCATACAGCCCATTTTCCTTCCTGTAATACCTGCCACACCCAGGTTCACCCAAGCTGTCTTTCCCGGGAGTCCTAGAGTGAGCCTTGGGGAGAAGGGCCCCACACGTGTTGCTGAGCCCCACGCACCCCGGGGGGAGACACGACCCCCGCGGACTCACTTCCCATCCTCATGACCTTCCAGGATCTCTGCCTGGTTCTTTGTACAATCACGGAGGAGACAGCTGAAATGTTCCCTTCGGGGCATTTATAAACCGAGGTCGCTTCCTGTTTTCAGGAGGAAATGCTCCTGGAGCTGGGGAGGGCTGTGCTGCCGGGCGGGCGAGGCTCCCATCCTCTGAGTCACCCGCCCCGCTGTCTCCCCTGGGGACCACACGCCGTGCAAATCCGCCATCCATCCATTACCGTCCATTATCAGATGGAAGGCTTCCAGCCCCTAGTGAGAAGCAGGAGAGCACTAATGTCCACATGGGTACAAAGTTATTGACCATGAACTGAGGAAAGGTATTTTTTTTCCTCCTTTCCCCTGTGATTGGAATTACTAATTAGATCAACATGAAATTAAAATGATTCCAAGGCTGAAACACCTGGGGAAGAATCTCTTGAAGTCCGTTTTTTCATCACTGGGCTGAGACTAAATGATGCTGTCAACATGCCAGATTATTTCAAATTAGCTAAATTAATTAATCTAACTCAGTCTTTGGCTATATTAATCATCTGTTTTAGGTTTTTATGGGAGAAAGAATATGTGACTGTTTCAGCATAGTGCATATAGATGAACTTCATAGGCAGGTGGCTTTTCTTCTGCTCAAAGCTGGTATTTTGAAATCTAGGCAGTAATAGGGTTCCCTCAAATACACTCAGTAAATTTCACAGTTTCTTATTTTATTTTGTTTGCGTTTGAAAAGATCTACCTTTCTGCTGTTAAGACTGTAAGAAGTGAGTGTTATTTTTTCCTTGAGCACTGAAAGGTGTTGAAAAGACGAGCTCATATGCAGCCCATTTTTAGGATGATTCTCTTTTAAATGCCAGAAATCCAGAAGTATCTACCTAAGAAGAGAGAGCTGTTGAAGTTCTTTATGGACTACAGTAATCCAAAACTCTCCAGAAATGTCCAAAGCTGAGTCGTTGGTGAGGAAGCAATGTGAATCACCTATATGTGATGGAGGTGAATATATATTATATATATATTCACAATGGAGTCCACCTACCAACGCCTCTGAGTCCAAGACCAGGGGCTCTTCCTGCACAGTTAGTGACGATGCACACTGAACTTGCGTTCTCAATGTATTCCTCACAATTTGTCAGGAAATGCTTTGCGTGGAAAAATAATGATGGTGGAGAGACCAGGCACCGTGGTAGGACATGCAGCCTGTGTGAAGTAGGGCCCATTATTTTCACCATCCTACAGATAAGAAAATCAAGGCGAGGTGTCCCAGTTCACAGTCATCTCATCATGATGGAGCAGTGGGGTGCTCGCAGGGAAACATGTTGCTGCCCCTGAATGCTGAATTTCTATGACACCGGGTAAAGGGGAGGGGCCTGCAGAGGGGCAAAAGCAGGTGGAGTGCAGCTGCGTCTTGTCCTCACTCCTGGGCTCCTGGCAGGGTCTGAGCTGGGCACTAAGTACAGTCGTGGAAAATGGCCTGGACTCTGAGCCAGGAGCTCTGACCTCTTCCCTGGCCTGGCTACCATCTTGAGACAATATCTCTGGGCCTCTGTTTTCTCAGAATGAGTGATGTAGACTCCGCCACCCTCAAACCCCTGGATGCCAGGCGTGCAGTTTTCTGGAGCAAGTAGAAGAGTTACTTTTTTTTTTTTTTTTTGCAATCGCTTTTCCCAGCCATCCTGGTTCATAGGACACTGGCAATGAAAGCCATTATTACCATTCCTGCTAGTGATGCTAATGAGAATAATTTGAATTCATTTGACACGTTTCCTGGAAGGGGCCCAGATTTTATGATTATTGCTCATCTCTGCACTTTGAGATTCTGGCTGAGTCCCAGAGAAGTGGAAAAATACTGTGAGAAAGGTTGAACTTGTGGTATTTCTGGGTTGACTGGATACAGGAAGTACAGCAATCTTAGGGAAAAACATGTTTACATATTTCTCTGGATATGTATCTATATATCCTTTTTAGGGTTGGGAGGGTTGATGTTTACCGAAAGGTTTGAACTTCAGCCTCAAATAGCTGATCCCTGACCCACATTAGGTTTTGCAAAATTGGTTCAGCTGCCCCCCAGGCAGTTCCTGTAACGTTTTGGGAGGCAGAGAAGGAAAGGTGGCCTGCACTTCAGTCCCCAGGGGCCATGAAGAAGGCATTTCTGGGAGGCAATGGGCTAGAACAGGGACTTTGCAAAGTCCTGTGGAGAAGTAATGCTTACATGTTTGCCACTGCTTGTCAATATTTGTCTGGGCAATGACTAGACAATGAAATGCACAAATATTATGAAGTATTTGGGGATTTTGTTTAAATTATTTCAGGGAGAGAAGGTATCTTTTCAGGACATTGGCAGATGGGATTTAGAATGGTCCCAGATGGAATTATCCCAACTAAGGTGCCTCTCCCAATCCTCAACCTCAATTTTCTTTTAATTAGTGACCGCCATTTTTTTCTGTTATATCCAGCTCAAAACTTTTTGGTTATTCTGATATTTATCCTGACCTCAGCATGTGCCTGACTTTCTGTGCCATGTTATCTTGTACTTAATTCAGGCCTGCTTCATGTACATTTTTTTGACAAAAGAATTGATTGCAAGCATGGACTTAGCGTTAAGTTCCTGCTTTCTAATAAAAGCCTCCCTTTGTAACCCAGGTCAAGCATTTCAGAGATGCGCACAAAATCAACACTTCCTATAGCGATTATGTGCGCATTATCTTTTGGTGGAATAATGCTTTCACTGGAATAATAACGTTATCTTTTTTAAAGTATGTTAAAAAGTTGAAAACGTTAGGAATCTAGGTTCTCCCTTTAGACTGCACAGCTGATGCTGAGATTGGAAGTAATATGAGAGACATAAATAGGGCCTCAATATGCCTTTGTTTAAAGATATTAGGATCATTTTGGCCACCTACAGCAGTCACAAAAAAATCACAGGACATCTGTGAAGCATCCCTACAGTTGGCTCACACTTCACAGCCAAGCACACATTTTTATTAGATGACTTTGCTTTATTCCATCTATTTTAACAGCTGTACGCTCCATGGCTTCATAAATCTTATTCCTGTGAAACACACAGATTTTACCAGCTAGTGTACTCATGACCAAGACTTTTACCTTGAAGCAATCTTCTTTTACATGACAATGGATTTAAATGCTAGGCTGGCTTCTGTAATGTATGCACTAATGCACACACTACATACACTGACACACACACAAACACGTATGGACAATTTTGACCACTAATGTTATGGGTAAAATTGGCTCTCCACTAAAATTCATGTGTTGACATCCTAGTCTCCAGTCCCTGAATGTGACCTTATTTGAGATAGGGTCATTATGGAGGTAATCCATTTAAAATGCGGTCATTAACGTGGGTCGTAACTCCCTATGGCTGGTGTCCTTATAAAAAGAAAAAGTTTGGGCACAGAGACATCTACAGAGGGAAAACGATGTGAAAAGACACAGGGAGAAGACAGCCATCTACAAGCCACAGGAGAGGCCTGGAACAGATTCCTCCTCACAGCTGGGAAGGAGCCGACTCTGCCAGCACCTTGGTCTCTGCCTTCCAGGCTCCAGAGTTTTGAGAAAATAAATTGCTGCTGCTTAAGCCTCCCAGTCTGTGGTACTTTGTTCTAGAAGCCTGAGCCAACTCACAACTAGTGGCACAAAGCTGCCAGCCGGTGGATAATGCCTTTCAGCAGCTGCAGAGGCGGAGGTGGGGACGGTCAGTGCCAGGGTCCCTCACCCCAGCAGCTGGGTGTGACCTGCCTCTGGTGTTGGACACACAGGATTTGGACTCGGGGCAGCTATGGCGTCAGCAGAGTCTCTGTAGACCTGCCTGTGGGATGAGGTTGGCTGTGCCTCCAGATTCATCTCTGTTTGTCTTTACCCATTTTATTTTTTTTTTTTATTTTTGAGATGAAGTGTCACTCTGTTGCCCAGGCTAGAGTGCAGTGGCATGATCTCAGCTCACTGCAACCTCCGTCTCCCAAGTTCAAGTGATTCTCCTGCCTCAGCCTCCCAAGCAGTTGGGATTACAGGCATGCGCTACCATGTCTGGCTAATTTTTATATTTTTAGTAGAGGGGCCGTTTCACCATGTTGGCCAGGTTGCTCTCGAACTCCTGACCTCAGGTGATCTGCCCACCTCGGCCTCCCAAAGTGCTGGGATTACAGGTGTGAGCCACCGTGCCTGGCCTGACTTTACCCATTTTCTAAGCCAAGCAATGGCTCTTCACAGATATATTTTCTTCTTAGATCATTCAAAGTTACTGTGGGTTGCAACTGACAATCTTGACTGATACAGAAATTGGTACCAAGATTTGTTGTAGCCAGGAGGCTCTGGAAATTTGAGATGATTCTAAGAATTTTCTTAGGCTTAGGTACCTAAATTGAAGGAACAACAAAGAACCATAAAAAATAAATTTCAGTCGCCAGGAAGTTCTTCATATTGAAGCCGTCCTCACAGAGTTAACAAGAATTCTGGACAGAAATGTAGTTATAGTTAAGCATTAATCACGCTGCACTGTGGCCCAATTTCTTATAAACAGAAGTCACTGAGCACTAGATACTGACCATTCACATTCTTATAGATAGGAGTCCTTTAAATAGGATTTCTGTAAGGCTTTTGTTTAAGAATTGCTTCAGATGTTTTTCAGATCTCAAATTCCAGAAAAATAGCTGAGTCCACCAATTTGAAGACCCCAAAGAGTAATGGAATCAGTCTGAGAATACAGCTTCTTCCTCTCCCTGTCTCATAATGTCACCCTGCACTCTTCAACCAATGGTCTCCACACCTCAGCCCACTCCAAAACCGTTAAAAACCCTAACCTCAGCTGGGCTCAGTGGCTCACACCTGTAATCCCAGCACTTTGGGAGGCTGAGGCGGGTGGATCACCTGAGGTCAGGAGTTCGAGAGCAGCTTGGCCAACATGGTGAAACCCTGTCTCTACTGAAAATATAAAAATTAGCAAGACATGGTGGCGGGCATCTGTAATCCCAGCTATTTGGTAAGTTGAGGCATGAGAATCCCTTGAGCCAGGGAGGCA
The DNA here is from genome assembly GCF_000001405.40 of Homo sapiens. Lineage (NCBI taxonomy): Eukaryota > Metazoa > Chordata > Mammalia > Primates > Hominidae > Homo > Homo sapiens. The sequence continues at coordinate 3,429,552 of NC_000010.11, forward strand.
GAGGTTGCATTGAGCCGAGATCGTGTCACTGCACTCCAGCCTGGACGATAGAGACTCTGTCTTAAACAAACAAACAAACAAAGAAACAGGAAAACCTAACTCCAAACCCCTCTGGGAGACAGATTTTAGGTTCCTCCTGTCTCCTTGTCTGCGTCCCTGAGACAAAACCTCTTTCTTTGCTGCAAGTTGGTGTCTTGGCATATGGACTTGCTGTGCAGTACGTGTTGGGCTTGCAATGAGCCTATTACTGTTACGATAAGATACGGGAGAATAGTGAGATGCAGTGCTGTGCTGTGCAGTGGACACCAGCCGCTGTGAGTTTCACCCTGATGCTGAAGGGAGGGGGCGGGCAGATGAGCTGCCATCATTTTTCTTCTGCTTGGCAGGTATTCACAGGACTTGACTTGGATTTCAACGTCTCTTCTGGTTCTTACTTTTTTGTTCTGTTTTTATCTGGGATTTGTTAGGAGGAAGACAGTGAAGTCTAAACAGCTGACAGAAATAATTTTTAAGGCTCAGTTGCCTGGAACGGAAAACCAAGTATTAAAGAAGGCATTGAGCTGAGTGAGGTCTCTAGGATTAGACAAAACCCTAAATGGTAAAATAGGAGGGAGTGAGGAGGTGATGGTGTTTTCCTGTTTCCTCCTTAATTTACAGGAAAAGGAAGAAGGAATAAACCAGTATGTTCCGCAGTTTCAAAATACAGTCATTTAGCTCTGAAATGCTAAATCTGAAATGAAGCTCAAAGCTGGAAGCTTCCATCATAAGAAGGGTATAAAATTGTCTACCTAAACATTTCAGGAAAATCAAGATTTTTTTTAACGTTGAGATATGGAAAAAAGGTTCCACAGAGTGTATAGGTTGGTATTTGTATTTTAAAAGATTATTTTAAGGTTTTGTGTCTTAAATGAGTTGTGCAAAGTCTAGTAATTAGAGCTTGAAGATATTCATGGTCTTCTTGTCTCTAGCCTTGGCATCAAATAATCTAGCAGCCATATTCCAATCAAAGTGGCTTTTCTCAATCACATATCTGCTTCTGGATATCACTTAATGTGACCCAGCCTCCCACTAGCTCTCGACACCCAAAGTCCTCCTGCCTTCACCCATCTGTCTTGAGCTCCCTTCTGCACATGCCATCAGCCTGCCCAATGCACAGGATGTGGAAACCAGTGAACCTGGCTTTCTCATCCTTCCTGTGCCTCCCAGCTGTGCAAATTGGGTCAAGTTAACTTCTCTCTACTTAGTCTTCTTTGTACAAGATGCAGATAACCATACTGTCTAATAAGATTGATGGGAGAGGAAGTAAAAGCAAAAATATGTAGTCCACCTGCAAAATGCCTGACTAAGAGCAGATGTGCCTTTTCCTGTTCCCACTCCGCACCCATGAACATCCCACCATTACTTGTAAGTAGGCCGAGTAAAGGGAGGTTTAATAGAGGTAGACCTGGTGGAAGTAGGTCTAGTAGAGGTAGTCCTGGTAGAGGTAGGTCTGGTAAAGATAGGCCTGGTAGAGGTAGGTCTAGTAGAGTTAGATCTGGTGGAGATAGGACTAGTAGAGGTGGATCAAGTAGATGTGGATCTAGTAGAGGTGGATCTAGTGGAGGTGGATCTAGGGGAGGTGGATCTCGTGCGGGTGGATCTAGTGGAGGTGGATCTAGCGGAGGTGTATCTAGTGGGAGTGTGCCTCATGGAGGTGGATCTTGTGGAGGTGTATCTAATGGAGGTGGATCTCGTGGGGGTGGATCTTGTGTGGTGAATCTAGTGGGGGTGAATCTAGTGGAGGTAGGCCTAGTAGAGGTAGGTTTTATAGAGATAGGTCTGGTAGAGAAAAGTCTAGTAGAGGTGGATCTAATGGAAGTAGGACTAATAGAGTTAGACCTAGTAGGGGTGAATCTAGAGGAAGCAGATCTATTCATAGTAGAGGTGGCTGTATTTGAGGTACAGCTGTACAGTGAGTTCTCATGAGGGCTCATCTCCTTGTCTCATTCAGGTCTTCATCCATCGGCCTCCTCAGTGGAGAATGAGCCTGCAGTAGACAGTGACTGTGGATATCTCACTGTGGCATTCCCAGGGCCTACCCTAACCCCACCCATTTGGCCCCCACCAAGGGGATGTATTCCCTGGAAACGTCCACGTGTGGATTGCGCTGCCCACCTCCATTCCCTGTGCTCCTGGGAATGGCACTGACATTTGACCTGCAGGGAGCAGAGACATCCCATGTTTTGCCTGTGGAATTTGGGGGCCCTGACCCAGTCCAGCTCCAGGGCTGAACTGGAGTCACCAGTCAGTCAGTTAACAAAGCCACACGGCGGCCACAGGGATTGATCTGCAGATAAGAACGTGTCCTACTTAGTGCCCAGAGAGTCATGAAGGCAGTTTTGGATTCTCTGGAGAGAGAGACCTCCCTCTCATCTGTGGAGATGGGCAGTGGGGAGAGCACAGGAGATCCTACAGAATGGGGCACCTGGACAGGCCAGAAGGACGCTGGAGGGCAGCTGCCACCACAGATGCTGATACACTTGCCCTTGGATGGCTCTTCTGAACCTAGGCCTAGCTCTGGAGTGGTTTATGAAAGCCCCTAAGTCCCTCTTTTTAATTTTAGCTTGCATTGGGTGGTCTGTCACTTGCAGCAGAAAATCCCCGGCTCACAGCTCCCGTGTGAGTAAAGGCACTTGAATGCTGTTTCCTTGGAGGTTGGCCCTGAGATGGTTTCATGCCACTGCCACTAGGGACACTGGGACCATAGCTCGCAGAATCACTGAGAGAAGCAGACACATACCAGTTAGCATGGCAGTGGGTTTGGGAAAACAGATTGAATTTTTATTCACTGTGGCCCGTCCCAGCCTTGCCTTCTCCTTGTCATAATTTTGTCCATTATTTTTAGTATTTTAACATCAAATGCCCAAGTTAGTGAAGATGTTTTACTTCAAAATGTAGACCCCAGAGAACAAAATGAGATACAAAACCTTTTTGGAACATGTGTTTAATGACATACTTTAATGGAACTTTTAGCTGCTGTGGAGAGGTTTTTGGCATGAGTTGTATAGCTTCTTTTAGCAAATTTCCTAAAAATCAGATGCATTTTACACTTGGCTGCATAGTAAACCCTAAAAGGGTTCCTGGAATGGATTGAAGTCTAAGAAGCCCAAAACAAATAAGACATTCATCTGCATGTTCTCAGAGCAACATCCCCAGCTGAACTGGGCTCTGTGGGGACTCAGCATGGCATCTCCCTACAGGCATTTTCCCCTTTAATTTGTCAGGGTTCCCCTAGGGTTAGCTTGCATCATATTCTACCTTGAAGTCCAAAATCAATTTCTATAAGCAGTACCCAGATGGGGAAACTGAGATCAGGTCTCTGTTACCAGATGGATGTCATATTCTCTCTCTCTCTCTCTCTCTCTCTCTCTCACACACACACACACACACACACTTTTAATGAATGAGAAAATGCATTCACATCACATTTTAATAGGATTGTTCTCAGGAATGATGGAGGCCATATTTATGAAAGGATTCCAGCATGGTTCTTGGCACATAGTAAACCCTCAGATATACCTGTATATGTGCGTGCGTGTGTGTGTGTGTGTGTGTGTGTATTTTAAATGCTCATCTTATACCAAGAACAAGTGACAATAAACATTTCAAGACAAGCGGCTGTATTTCAAATACTGACAGACCAGGGAGAATTTTATGTTAGTCACTCAGACCTAGCAGCTAGTAGGAGATTGTGTTCCGGAAGAGCGGTCACGGCTAGAATGGAGTATGTAGGACAGCAATGCCAAGGTACTGTGTTCAGCGAGTGGCAGAAGCAGGGAGGAAACGGGGCTTGTTAGAGTGGATAAGGTCATGGAACTGCTGGGAAAGGGAGCAGGAAGGGTTGCCAGTGAGATTTCAAACACTATCTTCAATCCCTCAAGAATGAGACAGGGGAAGGAATAGAGGAAACATCCCAATTTATGAAAACTTTTTGTTTTTTTTATTGTGACAGAGTCTTGCTGTATCCCCCAGGCTGGTGTGCAGTGGCATGATCTTGGCTCACTGCAACCTCTGCCTCCTGGGTTCAAGCGATTCCCATGCCTCAGCGTCCCGACTAGCTGTAGGCGCCTACCACCAAGCCCGGCTGATTTTTGTATTTTCAGTAGAGACAGGTTTTTACCATGTTGGCCAGACTCGTCTTGAACTCCTGACCTCAGGTGATCCGCCCGCCTCGGCCTCCCAAAGTGCTGGGAATACAGGCATAAGCCACCCCGCCCGGCCTTATTATGAAAACTTTATGAGAATTGAGGATCCCAGCAGAAAGTATTGAGTGTGTCTGGCATAAGTGGGGTTTTGGATTTTGGGTAAAGAGAGGCCTAGTTCCTGCTCTACACTCCATGCTTCTCTCCTAATCTCACAGCCTCAAAACTTCCTCTCCACAATGTCTCCGCCCTGATGGCCTGACGGAACATCAGGCCCTGGTTTCCTGCTACTCAATATTGACTTGGTGGTATCCACTAGCACCTGAAGTGTAAGAACTCCCCACTAAACTCATCCTCTCCTCTTGCTTTTTCAAATCCCTACTAATGGCAGCTTCCTGTATAAACACAATGGCACTTTCAGTTTCTCGTCAACAGCTCAACACCCGTGGCCTTTTGGCTTTGCCATCACTTGTCTCCACATGAAATAATTGCTGAGTCCTGATGGTTTAACAGCCGCTGAGTCCTGATGGTTTAACAGCCGCAGCCTCCATCCCATTTGTGTCTTCATCCGGCTCTCAGAGGCTGTGTCTTCCTTTCTCTTCCTTCCCCAGTCTTACTTATCTATCAATTCTAGAAAATAGTTCAAAAAATAATGCAAATTAATGATGACCCTCAATTACTGAAAGTCTTTGATCGGCTCTCCTTTCTTGATGGTAAAATAACTACTCCTCCGTGTGACATTTCAAAGTACTATACTCCCATTCTGTCCACCTTTCTTTTTTTTTTGAGACAGAGTCTCACTCTGTAGCCCAGGCTGGAGTGGTGCAGTGGCGCAGTCTCAGCTCACCGCAACCTCCACCTCCCAGGTCCAGGTTCAAGCAGTTCTGCCTCGGCCTCCTGAGTAGCTGGGATTACAGGCACGCACCACCATGCCCAGCTAATTTTTGTATTTTTAGTAGAGACAGGGTTTCACCATGTTGGCCAGGCTGGTATTGAACTCCTGACCTCGCGATCCACCTGCCTCGGCCTCCCAAAATCTGTCCAGCTTTCTCTCAAGTCCCCTCTTTTGCTCACCTGGATTATTCATTGTTCTTTCGACAGGCACAGTGGCTTCTCCTTTAGTCACTTGTTCAGCCTCAGGTGCACTTTCCTTTCATCTCTCTTTCCACATGTCTGAATGCCTAACCTCTCTGCAAATAAATCCCAAAGCCTGTCTCTTCCATTAGCCTCTCTGGATACCTCCCTCCTGTCAAGAGAAAAGATTGTTTTCTTCCTTTGAGTGAACAAAACACTGTCTAATTATCTGTGATAGCATTCAACATGAATGAATTATCTACATTATAATGTGGTTATTTCTGTAAAGTCTGCAAGAGCTTAAATTTTTTTTTTTGGTTTGTAACAAAGCAGCTAGCTCAATATATTGCACATAGAAGATGCTCATTTAATGTTATAAAGCAAATAGCCAAGCACATTGTACATAGCAAATGTTCATTCAGATATAATCAAATGCATTTTCAAAATCTGTTCTGTATCAGATGATGTTAAAGTAGTGTGTATCTAATACTATGTAAATATAATTGAGTGCACATTTCACCAAACAAGAAATACGAAAGGCTAATAAGCACATATAGAGATGCTCAACATTAATAGTCATCAGGGAAATAAAAATTAACACCACAATGAGATATCACTACATACCCACTAGAATGATTATTATAAAAAGACAGACAATAGCAAACAAACACTGGTGAGGTGCAGAGAAGCTTAAGCCCTTCGTACATTACTGATGGGAATATAAATTGTACTGCTGTTTTGGAAAACAGTTTGGCAGTACAATGTACATTTCCATCAGTATGTAAATTATTCATAAAATGTTAAACATAAACTTTCTAGAAAACCCACAAGTTCTAAAGCAAGAAATCTACTCACACAAAGACTTACATGCAAATGCTTATAGCAGTTTTCCTCATGATAGCCAAAAAGGGGAAACAATCCAAATATTCATCAACTGGTGATGGGAAAAATGAAACGGACCAGGTCTGTACAATGGGAAGTGATTCAGCAGTGCAGAAATAAACACTGATATGACTACAATACCTACAACGTGGAGGAAACTTGAAAACATTAAGCTAAGTGAAGGTAGCCAGTCACAAAACCACATAGTATACGATTTCCTCTATATGAAATATTCCAGAACAGGCAACTCCAAAGAGACAGAAAATAGATTCCTGGTTGCGTGAGCTTGTGGTGGGAAGGAGAAATGACTACAAATGGGCAATTGGGATTCTTTTGTGATTGTAAAATTGGATTGTGGTAATGGTTTCACAACTTTGTAAATTTACTAAAAAATCATTGAACCGTACAATTAAAATGGGGGAGTTTTATGGTATATAAACGAGACCTCCATAAAGCTGTTAGAGAAAATCACTGGACTTCCAGGACATGCACCTTTATCTACTGGAAGAATAAAGTGAAACGTAGCTTCTTTTAAATAGTTTTCTAGCAGAAACATGCTCAAGTACCACAAAAGGATAAAATATATTATCTGTTTAGTTCTAACTTACTTATTATGTTTTGACAGAATAGTCATTTGGACTAAGACAACAAAATAGTTCTTTATGCAAGCTATTGAAATGGAAATAAATATTTAGAGAAAAATCACACAATCTTTTTAAGTAACAGTTCTGTAGAGATCTTAAATTTTCAACAATTAGGTTAGAAAGGAATGCTTTCACTAAGCCTTTATTGAATCTGATCCACTAGTTTGTTCATATAAATCGTCAGTACATAGCAGTCTTTTACTGATTAATTATTCACCCCAAAGTCTATTAGCAAATATTTACCGCTTATAGCCTAATTAAAATAGAACCCAGGCTACTATTAAATAGAGGTCGTTCTAAAGCTCTTCTCAAGAGAAGTATAGACTTGGTTACCGGAGAATTGTCAAGGAAATCCTTCTCAGAGGGTAGTTATTTCAAAATTGATGAGTAATTTAAGGATATTAGCGGCATTTAACACTCTGAGTTCTAGTGTTTATTTAAATCAAGCATCGGATTCATTTAGGCTGGGTAATGAAGTAATCAGTAATGAGTAAAGAGCATTTTCATAAGAAAACAGTAGCACCATGGGCATAAATGATGGTCTCCCCACCCCTGTGAGCCTGCGTCCTTGACAACATAATAGGCCGGTAGGAGACCCCACCTTTTGAGTTTGCAATGCCAGGTCTCTCGCCCCAGGGACTGTAAGCAGGTGCCTCTGGGATGAGCTCAGGGATTCTCAGAGGAGACCATCAGGCCCACCCTTCCGTCTCTCAAGGAGATTGGAGAAGCGTAATTGTTCTTTCTTCCACTTTACTGTATAAATTTGAATGTAATTCTGTCCCAACTTAGTTATCATCACTTCTGTGCTACCTTCTATGCATGTAAATTTGATGATAAATTGTTCTATAATAAATGGTTTCTCCCCTTCCCGTCCCCCATCTCTCTATTTCTCTCTCTCTCTCTCTCTCTCTCTCTCTCTCTCTCCCTCTCTCTCTCTCTCTCTCTCTCTCCTCTATTAGTGCAGAGCATTCTTTTATTGGCAGGATTGTTTCATTTCTCCAACACTGCATACCAGTGTTAGAGAAAGAATGTTAAAGTTTCAACAAAAGAGACTCTTAATGCTTTTCTGGACAAACATTGAGCTTCCTTTTAATTGTACATTCTCAGTTTCCTTCAAGCAGCCCTTTGGATGGCTACAGGGTTTTCTTCTCTGCCCTGCTGGGGACCAGGAGCTCCCATCTCCCTGTTTCTTCCCTGCTGACCTCAGGGCAATCTTGGAGGGGGCCTCGGGCTGTGCTCAAATATAAAACAAAGCTTGTAAAGTAGATGTGTGAAAAGAGGAATGCAGAGGTTTCCAAACCCGTTACTTTCCTTCTCTTTTGCTGCAATGCAGTTTTATAAAACACGAAGTCTCGTTTGAAACTCTGTCTTATTGTTTACAACAGCCACTCACTGAAAAGGAGCCTTAGAATTATAAATAACCTTCGAAAACAATAACAACAAACAGCAAAAACTTTAATAAGGTCACAGACATGTTACTGTAGACCAAGTGCACTGTTGAGAGCGGACTGTTACTATGTTAGGTGCGGGACAGAAAGATTTCTAGAGAGCTTTGTGGAAGAGGTTTCCAGTAATTTAGCAACCAAGACAGTTTGTCGTTCAAGATATGACGAACTTTCTTCTTTTTGCTTATTAAAGTTGAACATTAAAAAACAAAAAACTGAAGATCTGTTAGTGAGTGTATTTGGTACATTAATTTTCTATGGTTGCTATGACAAATTATCTTAAAGGTACTGACTGAAAACAGCAAAGATCTACACTCTCAAAGTTCTGGAGGTCAGAAGCAGGACATCGATCTCACTGGGCTAAAGTCAAGGTGTCGGCAGAACATGGTTCCTTCTGGGGGCTCCAGGGGGAGCCCATTTCCTTTTATTTTTTAGCATCTAGAGATTGCCCACATTCCTGGGCTCATGGCCCCTTCCTACTTCTTCAGTGCCAGCACCAGTGGACTGAGCTCTCAGGTCACGTGCCTCTGGCTTCATCTTCTGTCTTCTTCATCTACTTTTTGTTTGTTTGTTTGTTTGAGATGGAGTCTGGCTCTGTCGCCCAGGCTGGAGTGCAGTGGCGCGATCTCGGCTCACTGCAAACTCTGCCTCCCAGGTTCACGCCATTCTCCTGCCTCAGCCTCCCGAGTAGCTGAGACTAAGGCGCCTGCCACCATGCCCGAGCTAATTTTTTTGTTATTTTTAGTAGAGACGGGGTTTCACCATGTTAGCCAGGATGGTCTCGATCTCCTGACCTCGTGATCCACCCGCCTCGGCCTCCCAAAGTGCTGGGATTACAGGCGTCCTTCATCTAGTTTTAAGGGTTCTGGTGATGACATTGGGCCCACCCAGATAAAAATCAATCCAGATTAATCTAGGATAACCTCCCATCTCAAAGTGCTGAATCACATTGGCAAAGTCCCTTTGGCCATGTGATGTCACATATTCACAGGCTCTGGGAGTTAGGACGTGGACATCTTGGAGGGGCCTTTCTTCTGCTGACCACAGAGAGGAAGTGAGAACACGCTCATTCCTATGCCTCGCTGTGGAGACTATAAAATGCAAAATCTCCCTAGGGAGGGATATAGAAGCAACAGCAGCAACACAAGCATATCAGTATGTAGGACATTTAATCCAGCAAGGGTTTTCTGGAAATTTGTCCAAGGATATAAGTATTTATAAACTCAAAGCTTTTCATATCATTGTATTTGGCACTATGAAGAAATGGGAAAAATTCAAATGTCTAACAATGGTAGATTGGTTAAATAAATCATAGTATATTTATTTGTATCAGTTATTTATTGCTGTGTAAATAATTGCCCCAAGGTACAGCAACTTAGAAAATTGACATTTCTTCTTCATACAGTTTTTGAGGGTGAGAAATCCAGGAGAAGTTTATCTATGTGGCTTGGGCTCAGGTTCTTCTATGAGGTTGCCATCAGGACACAGCCTGGGCTGCAGTCATCTGAAGGTTTGACTGGGGCAGGTGGATTCCCTAGTGAGGGAGTGCACTGAAGTATGTAACTGACAAGCTGGTGATGGTGGCTGCCACATGGCCAGGTGGACTTCTCCATAGGGCTGTGTGCATGGGCTCATGCCTTCCCTTAGAGTGATCTGAGAGAGAGAGATCAAGGAGAGAGCCTTTTAAGGCCTTATACAGCCCAGTCTTGAAAGTCACACATCTTGACTTCCAACAGACTCTATTCCTTGGAAATGATTCACTTAATCCAGCCCACACCCAAGGCAAGGAGTAGAATCAGGCTCCTCTTAAAAGGGAGATATTTCAAACAATTTGAAGAAATATTTTAAAAGCACAGCACCATATAATCAAAAACATTGCATTCATTTAAGTCATGTTGCAAAAATGCATCAAAAAAGTTATTCATAATATAATGTAGTTACAAACATACATTGCAAAACAGTATGTATGGTGAAATAAACCTATCTATCTCTATATATTTAGCATATAGTAGCCAAGAGCTTGGAGCTCTGTTGTTAGCATATTTTATGTACAAGCCCCTCCACGAGGAAATAACTTAGGAATTATGTACTCCAAAATATTAACAGTGATTTTATTTGCATTGGCACTTTAGCACTTTGTATGTTCTGATTTTCCTACAATGAGTGTGCACGAGTGACAGTGTGACATTGCAGTAAAGAACACAGGTTCTGGAGTTAGATCTGGATTTGAAGCCCAGTTATACCATTTACATGCTCTGTGGCCTTGGAAAAGTTAACCATCCTCTCTGTGCCTGAGTTTTCTCATCTGTAAAATAAGGGTGATAGTAATAAAATCTTTGGGAACTGCTAAAGCCTGACATCTGCCTCCACACATTTCAATTCAATTGGTCTAGGTGGCAACCTTTGCTTTCGGAAGCTCCTGGGAGATTTGAACCTGCTGTTGAGTTTGTGAACCACTGAGATGGAGTTTCCACCCCTCCCCCATTGCTGGATTTCTTCACATAGGTCACGTTTTCACGTCTGTGCCAAATACACTAAATATGAGTTAGATGACTTTGGGTGGTCCCTTCTTGCTAAATTTACAGAGAGGAAAAAAAGTACTGAGAACAAAAGTTAAATACAAATTTGCTATTGCAAAATGTAACCTTTTATGTCTAATGTTATTAATGTACTCTAGTAAGACTTTAGCTGTTAGAAAAGAGCTCAACAAGGCTGGGCGTGGTGGCTCACGCCTGTAATCCCAGCACTTTGGGAGGTGGAGGTGGGCGGATCACGAGGCCAGGAGATCGAGACCATTCTGGCTAACATGGTGAAACCCCGTCTCTACTAAAAATACAAAAAATAAATAAATAAATAAAAGAAAAGTGCTCAACATTTGAACATTGTATCTTTTTTGCCTAGCTTCTTAGAACAGATAAATGCAATGTCAGATACATACAATGCTATTGTAAAGTGGTGTGCTGTATGCTAATTTTAGACATACACGTGTGTGTATATGTTTGCGTGTGTATGTATGTATATTATATATATAAAAATATATAGTGGAATATGTGTGTGTGTGTGTGTATATATATATATATATATATAAAGAGAATTTGTTGCTGTTGTCCTGACATTGAAATAAGTTGCAAATAAGATTATTTTCAAATGGATAAGCACAAAATCCAACACTGAGACTGACTTTGGGCATTCCTAATTATTTTGAGTTCTACTGAGCTACATTTTCTTAACTTAGGTTTTGCAGAAAATTATCTGGCTGAATGAAATGTTGGGTAAATTGGCCATGGAATAAATGAAGCTGAGTACTGGGCTTGGCTTGGATACTACAGAATGCCCCTTTCTTGTGACAAGTCACATGGATGCTAGACAATCCGTATTGGTATTGAGCGAAATGTAATTGAAAACCTCAGCACCACATCATAAGATCATGGAATTGCACCACTTTAGAGCTGGCAAATCCCTTAGAGATGATCTAGTCTAACCACCTAATTTTATGGATGAAGAATCCAGTAAAATACAGTTTGAGTTTGTCAGAAAATACATTTAACTGAGTAGAGCTTCCAGGAATCCTTCTCCCAGCTCAGCCCCATCATGGGGAGATAAAAACCAAGCAAACACTCATTTCTAAGTCTTGTATGTTGCACAGGACGTGTGTCTGAAACCCTTCTCTACTTATTTTTCTCCCAGCAGGTGAACCTGAGATGCTTCCAGGGGCAGGAGATGTTGGTGGCCTGTGGCCTGAGCAGGATGTGTCTTCCCTGAATGACAGGCCTATGATCCCATTAACATAGAAGCAGAAAATAAAAAATTAAGACACTTTACAAAGTAAAAGTGAAGTCAGAATTTTAAGAATATGTTAGAGTTTTCCTTTCTTGTCCTTTTGTTCTTCATTTTTTCTTTCTTCTGAGATAAGGTGTCACTGTGTCCCCCAGGCTTGAGTGCAGTGTCATGATCTTCGCTCACTGTAGCCCCCGCCTCCCAGGTTCAAGTGATCTGGCCGCTCAACCACCTGTGTAGCTGGGATTAGAGGAGTGTGCTGCGATGACTGGTTATAATTACAATTATTATTATTATTATTTTGTATTTTTAGTAGAGATGGGGTTTCACCATGTTGCCTAGGCTATTCTTGAACTCCTGAGCTCAAGCAGTCCACCTGCCTTGGCCTCTCAAAGACAGGCATGAGCCACCGTGACTGGCCTGTTGTACTTAAAAAAAAATTATTAAAAAATATGGTTTTAGGTTCACAGAAAAATTGAGTGGAAGATACAGAGGCTTCCCCTATACCCCCTGTCCCCACACAGGCCCAGTCTCAGCCTCCCCAGCTATCAATTCCCCCACCAGAGAGTGCCTTTCTTCCGATCAATGAGCACACGTGGACACATCAGCACCTCCCGGAGTCCACAGCCTACATGAGGCTCACTCTTGGTGTCGTACATTCTATTAGCTTGGGCAGTTGTATAATGACATGGATCCACCATTACAGTAGCCTAAAGAGAAGTCTCATGGCCCTAAAAACCCTGTGTTCTCTACTTATTCATCTATCCTTCCTTCAGCCCCCGGAAACCACTGACCTTTTACCATCTCTACAGTTTTGCCTTTTCCAGAATGTCCTAGAGTTAGAATCATACAGAAGTCACCTGTATCTGATTGGCTTTTCCTTAGGAATGTGCGTTTAAGGATCCCCCATGCCTTTTCAAGGCTTCACAGCTCATTTCCTTTCATCATATTCCATTGCCTGGATGTTCCACTGTTTATTTATTCACTCAGCCACTGCAGGACGTCTTGGTTTTCTCCATGTTTTCGTGATTATGAATAAGGCTGTTGTAAACATCCCTGTGCAGGTCTTTGTGTGGACATGAGTTTTTAATTCATTGGAGAAATACCAGTAAGTGCAGTAGCTGGATCATAGCTCGAGAGTATGTTTAGTTTTATGAGAAACCGCCCCACTGGCTTCCACACTGGCTGCACTATTTTGTATTCCCACCAGCAACAGATGAGAGTTCCTGTTGCTCCACCTCCCCGGCAGCATTTGCCGTTGTCAGCGTTCTGGAATTTGGCTGTAGCAATAGGTGCATAGCAGTCCTGTCTTGTACTTTTTGGTAGTATCTGACAGCTTGGAATTTTATAATCAATTAGTATTCTCTTTCTATTCTGGATTCTTTTTCTGAGACTTGGAAACAAGCAATTCGTGATTGTTCTCTGAGAGGTAAGATTTGGAAATCAACCCCTCACTGATGAGTCACCTCAAAGACACAGAGCGGATCCTAAAAACTGTGGCCCATAATCATGGCCTAAGAATGGCATAAAATAGGAAGTTTGGTGGGTCCATGTCGGTGGTATTTAAGGAAAGGAATACCTTAAATACCGTCGGGAAGCCGGCCATCACCTCTAGGGCAGAGGGCATGGTTCTGGTGGAAGGTGTGTTTCCATGATCCTCCTGGCCTCCGGTTTCCCCCAGCTGAGCCTAGTTACTGTTTAGCCAAGAATTTCCATTTCTCACACAAATTGTCCACTAAACAACTGTTGAATAGCGTCCATCTCCATGCTCCAGGATAATAGGACCTCATGTCTGGTTCCAAAGAGGAAATTTATGGCAGTAAGACAAGGATCCACCTTGTGAACCCAAAAGTATCTGTAACAGGTCCAACCCTGTGAACCCAAAAGTATCTGAGACAGGTCCCAGTCAATACAGAAAGATTATTTTGCCAAGGTTAAGGACATGCTGGTGACACAGCCTCAGGGGTTCCTGATGACGTATGCCCAAGATGGTTGGGGCACTGTTTGGTTTTATAGGTTTTAGGGAGACATGAGACATCAATCAATATGTGTAAGATGTACATTGGTTTGGCTCAGAAAAGTGGGACAACTCGAAGTAGGGTCTTTCAGGTCATAGATAGATAAGAGACAAAAGGTTGCATTCTTTTGGGTCTTTGATCAGCCTTTCAGTGAACACGCACTTTACGCGTGAGAGTGGTGTAGAGGAATAGTCACTGATACCTTATTCTGGCTCAGTGAATCTGCATTTTTAGATAAACAGTAGGTCAGAGGAAGCCGTCAGATGTGCATTTGTCTCAGGTGAGCAGAGGGATGACTTTGAGGTCTGCTTGTCCTTTGTCCCACACCTGTGAAGATAAGCTAGCAACTTACATTGCCAGGTTGAAATTCAACAGAACTGTTTTAGGGTAAAGATCTTGAGGCCCAAAAGGAATTTCCTTGTGGGTAAATTGTGAGGGAGGTGGGTAGCTTTTTTAAAAAAAAAATTGTAGCAATTTCATTTAGGAATAAAATGGGAGACAGGTTTGCTTTGTGCAGTTCCCAGCTTGACTTTTCCCTTTGGCTTAGTGATTTGGGGTTCCTGAGATTTACTTATTTTTTGCAGCCCCAATGAGTCTGTTGATGTGAGTCTGCCCTTTCTGACCAGTCGGGTACTGGATCCCACATGGTGGAAGAATAGCCCCAAGCGTGGATTCATCAAGTCAGTGATGTGCAATGGGATTTTGGGGGACCAGCTTCCTATCTCCACCCCATATGCACCTATTTCCATTTTAACTTCTACAGTTTCTAGGTAGCATTGGAAGGCAGGGATACCTCTTTATGTGAAGAAAGTATAGGTTGATTTAATGAACATTTTGAGACTTCTGAGAGGACATGTTGGAAGACAGAGCATAAACATTTTACATTTATTGATGCTTTTGATTTTTCAAAGCATTCATGTACACATTTTTGCATTTGCTCTTCATGACTATCCTGGAAGGTTGACTAGGAAGGTATTATTATTTCTGTTCCACAGCTCAGAAAAGTGAGGCTTGCAGAGGTCAGAAAGTGGAGCTAGATTTAGAGCCCAAGGGTCTTCAACCCTAACCCAGTGCTCTTCCTACAATATATTTTTAAAATTATTTAAAAATTTGCTAAAAGAGAACATAAAAATGACCTCAGAAGAGTCTGTAATATGGCTCCCTGAATTGCACCAATGGATTCAAATTGGGGGAATGAAGGGTGAAGATAATAGGAGCCCTTAAATCTTTGAGATTTTTAGCAACAAAAATCTGCCACAGACTTGCTAATGCAATGTTAGGATGTTGGCACTGCGGGTTCCCACGGAGAAGCTCGTTCATTCTAGAGGAAGACCTTTTTAGGGGATGGGTGAGCTGAGCAGAGGGCTAGGAGCCTCCGGGTTCCACACAGACCAAGAAGCATGGGGTGGTTTCAGAGGCTTTGTCATTATTTACAGATGACATCTGCTCTCTGAAAATCCTGATGCAGCCCAGGTTGCTTCTGGGTCTTCTCACTTCTCTCTCCTTTAAGGAGAGCAAGTTCTAGCCCTCCTGGGCTGTTAAGGAGAGGAGAGGACATGGCCACTTGGCTACAAAGGATGGGAGAAATGAAGAACCCGGGGTGGCAGCTCTCCAGGAGGTGAAGTGAACGCACTTTAACCTCAGACTTCCCCACCACCCTATTTACCAGGGTAAGTGGAAGTGGTAATTATTTTTAAGTAGCCAAAATATATTAGGCTACTTTTGTTCTATCAATAAATAAACATAAAGCTCCTCCTCAAACTCAGGATGTTCTCTGTGCATAAAATGCAACATACCAATTTTAAACCTGCACTGGTAGCATTGTTCATAATGGCCATTCCCATACATGCCATGAGAGGGATGATCTGTAGTTTATTCGAGGTATTCCATTAATTGGTGGCTGTCAACAGGAACCCAGCTGGTGAACTGCTAATGCACTATGAGACGAGGCTTTGAACATTTCATAAACATTGTAAATAGCCTCTGTATAACTGATCATTGTTCATAATGGATTATTAAAATTGAAAAAAAATGGACTCCAATGAAGTAGGCTAATAGAGTGCATTTGATGGAAAATGTTTGCTTGTAGATTTGTGTTTTGGACTACATAATTGGCAATTTCAGGCAGGAACTGCGGTGGAACCCGTAATGTGCTGAGCATTCTGCAGCTCAAATGTTAACATCTGGGGTAAAATATCTTTGGGGTGCACTGCTGAGAAAAGCTGTGGTCTCTGGGTCAAATGATGTTTCTGCGTGAAAGGGAGCATCAAGTTCCCATCCTCTACTCTAGCAGTTGGAGAAAGGGCGTTACTTAACATGTATTAAATGAGTCACTCATCAACATTTGAAGTTTCTTTGTGTGCAGATGCTTCAGTTAATCCATTTCTTAAACCACTGACTGTATTTCTCCTTTGAGTTTGATAGGATGCCTTTCATTAATGCTTAAACTAAATCAGCAGATGGATGCAAAGAAAGAGGAGGGAAATCAATGCAGGACGACCCCTTCCCCTGTCTGCAGAGATCCTGGGCTAATGGGCCTCTAGATGTGGGCATTTTGGGCTTTTAGGGGAGTAAAAATTGCTTCCTCTTACCCTTCTAGGTCCTGTGGCTAGTTTAAGAATTTGATTGATACAAGATAGGTTAACAAGGGGAAACAATTTTAATGATGTACATATGCATGGAAATCCCACAAAAATAGGAGACTGAAAGAAGCAGCCACATGAGTGGGATTTATCTATGACCCTGAGCCACAGATGTGCATGGGGGTTGGGGGCTTCCAGGGGAGTGGGAGGGGCAAATTATGGTTGGGCGAGAGGGGGTTTCCGGTGAAGAAAGGTTGCCTGGTGACGCAGATTAAGAGTTTCTCAGGTGCTTAAAGTTGTCTGAGAGCGGTTCTCTTCCTGGTATATATACCTTAACTACTGTGAATTTCCTTTATAAATGTAAATTTTCTTTACAAAAGGGGAAGTTTCTTCTTCATTTCAGACAGCTGAAAGGGAGATAAAGAACTTTTTCTGTGTCAGCTGGTTCTCAATTTCTTCTAACTCAAAATAATCAACATGCCAACATGGTGTATTTTAAGGTGCATGTTCTGAACTCCAGGATGCATTAGCCCTGCGTGGACAACTCTTCAGGAAGAGTACACACCACTGAGGCAGCAGGATTTGTTGTATTTAAAACACAGATGAACCGGGCGCGGTGGCTCACACCTGTAATCCCAGCACTTTGGGAGGCTGAAGTGGGTGGATCACCTGAGGTCAGGAGTTCAAGACCAGCCTGGCTAACATGGTGAAACCCCATCTCTACTAAAAATACAAAAACTTAGCTGGGCGTGGTGGCATGTGCCTGTAATCCCAGCTACTTGGGAAGCTGAGGCAGGAGAATTGCTTGAACCTGGGAGGTGGAAGTTGCAGTGAACTGAGATGGCTCCACTGCACTCCAGCCTGGGCAACAGAGCAAGACTCTGTCTCAAAAAAAAAAAAAAAAAAAAAAAAAAAAAAAAAAAACCAACGACCACAAAACAAAAAACAAACAAACAAAAAAAAAGATGCATGATAAACTGGGAAGAAAAGTAAGGAAAACAGAAAATGAAGTCTTTTTATTCCATGAAAGCCTCGTAGTAGGGGACCAGAAGTTACAATACTGAGGACATTTAGAACTCTAGGTAATTTTCATCATTACCAATTAATATACATGAAGCAACTCCTGAAGCATTTTCTGGGTTCTGAGATCCAGGAAGATAGAAAGTTATACAATATCTACCCACAATCACAGAATTATATTTTCGTCAATAATGTAAAGTGTCAGCTCCTCAAATCTTTGGCTGGAGCTGTTAAGTAGAGCACATTTGACTGGTTTAATGCCATTTTTCTTCTCAGGGATGACCTCATTATATCTACCTGGAGTTGAAGGATGCAAAAGAAAAGTCTTCTTCAATCATTCAAAATTATTTTCCCATTTACTTGCTTCTGCACCTTTACTAAAAGTCCACCTTGAGACATATATTTCCTTTTCACTGCTGTGGGACTGTACTGTTAAAAAATTATTCTTCTGGAAAATATGCATTCTAAGACAACAATAATTATTTCATTTATTCTTCTTCTTCATACGAATAGAAGCAACAGTTACAAATTATTGTGTACCAATCAGCAGGGCTAAGAATTGTGTATTATCCCATGAAAGCTTTCAAACAATATTGAAATAAAGATATGTCTATAATCTTCATTTTACTGGTGAAGAAACTGAAACTTAGAGAAAGGCTCTATAAGTTGGTTTCCTAGGAAGTGGTAGAGCCAACCCACTGGGCTTTTGTAATTTTTAATTTTTATTTTTTTTACTTTCCTAATTTATTTCTTTTTAAAAATGGCTTGATTGGGGTACGATTGGCATGCAATCATAAAATTAAACCTGTCCAAGTTTAGTGTCTGCACTCGATGAGTTTGAGGATAAGTATCCACCAGTGAAACCAGCACCATCATCAGGGTGGTAAACACATCCCTCACCTCCAAGGGTTTTCTTCCACCCCGTTATTATTATTGTTAAGTTGTTGTTGTTTGTTGTTTTATGAAGCGTTCACATAAGATCCACTGTCTTAGCAATTTTAAGTACACAATACAGTCTTGTTAGCTATGGGTGCTATGCTGTAGAGTAGAGCTCATACCGCATCCACCTGGCATAACTGAAACTTTGTTCCCTTTGACCATCAATGCCCTGTTCCTCCCTTCTCCCAGCCCCTGGTAATCACCACTCTCCTTTCTGCTTCTATGAATTTAACTATTTTAGGTTCCATATATAAATGAAGTCATGTGGTATTTTTCTGTGCTTGGATTATTTCACTTAGCATAATGTCCTCCAGGTTCATCCATGTTGTTGCAAATGACAACATTTCCTTCTTTTTAAAGGCTGAATAATATTCCCTTGTACAAATATGCCCCATTTTCTTTATCCATTCATCCACCAATGAGCATTGAGGCTGTTTCCACGTCGTGGCTGTAGTGAATAACTTTGCAACAAACACAGGGTTCAGAGATCTCTTAGAGATACTAATTTTATTTCCTTTGGATATATACCCCAAAGTGCAATTGCTGGACAATTTGATGTTTCTATGCTTACTTTTTTTTGAGAAACCTCCGACTGTTTTCTACAATGGCTGTACCAGTATTTCCACTAGCAATGTACACAGGTTTCTTTTTCTCTACATCTTCAGTAACTAACACTTCTTATCTTTTTTTTTTTCTGAATAATAGCCATTCTCACAGGTGTGAGGTGATATCTCGTTGTGCTTTTGATTTACTGATAATTAGTGATGTTGAGCACTTTTTCATGAACCTGTTTATCTTTTGTGTGTCTTCCTTGGAGAAATGCCTATTCAGGTCTTTTATCCCTTTTATAATCAGGTTATTTGATTTTTTTTTTTTGCTATTTGTATAAATTATTTGTATATTTTGGATGCTAATCCCTTATCAGATATATGACTTGCACACTTTTTTTTCATTCTCTAGGTTGCCTTTCTATTTTGTAGATTGTTTCTTCTACTGTGCAGAGCTTTATAGTTAGGTATATTTTGCTTGTTTATTTTGACATTTGTTGTCTGTGCTTTTGGTGTCATATCCAGAAAAACACTGCCAAGACCAATCAATGACAACAAACTTTTCCCCGATGTTTTCTTCTGGGAGTCTTACACTTTCAGGTCTTATGATTAAATCTTAAGTCCATTTAGAGTTGATTTTTCTATATGGTACAAGGATCCAATTTCACTCTTCCATATGTGGATATTCAGTTCTCCCTGCACCATTTATTGAAGAGTCTATCATTTCCTCATTGTGTATTCTTGGCACCCTATCAAAAATTAATTGACTGTATATATGTATACATTTATTTCTGGGCTCTCTATTCTATTTCATTGGTTTGTGGGTCTGTTTTTTTTATGCCAGTACCATCCTGTCTTCATTATCATAGCACGTAATGAAATTTGAAATCAAGAGGTAGAGTGCCTCTATCTTTGTTCTTTTTGCTCAACATTGCTTTGGCTATTAGAATTCTTTGTGATTGCTTATGAATTTTAGGATTCCTTTTTCTATTTCTTTGAAAAAAAAGCCTCTGAAATTTTGATAGGAATTGTGTTGAATCTGTAGATCCTTTTGAGTGGTGTGGACATTAAACAATATTAATTTTTCTAATCCATGAACATGAAATACTTTTCCATTTATTTTTATCTAATTTTTCTCATCATAGTTGTTTAGCTTTCAGTATATAGAGCTTTTACCACCTCAGTTAAGTTTATACCTAAGTATTTTATTCTTTATGATGCTATTACAACAGGATTGTTTTCTTAATTTCTATTTTGGGTGGTTCATTTTTAATGTAGAGAATGCTACTGGTTTTTGTATGTTGATTTTCTATCTTGCAACTTTGCTAACTTCATTCAACAGTTCTAACAGATTTTTGGTGGAGTCTTCTGGGTTTTCTGTATATAAGATCATGCTATCTGCACACAAAGACAATTTTACTTCTTCCTCTCTAATGTGAATGCCTTTTACTTTTTTTTCTCACCTAATTGCTCTGTCTAGGACTCCAGCACTATGTTGAATAGAAGTGGAGAACGTGGGAATCCCTGTCTTGCTCCTGATCTTAGAGAAAAAGCTTTCAGCTTTTTACCTTCGAGTATGATGCTATCTGTGGGCTTGCCATGTATGGCTTGTTTGATGTTGAGGTATGTTCCTTCAATACCTAATGTGTTGACAGTTTTCATCATGAGACGATGTTGAATGTTACCAAATGCCTTTTCTGAATCTATTGAAATGATTGTGTAATTTTTATCCTTCATTCTCTTCATGTGGTATATTGCATTTATTGATTCATCTATGATGAACTATCCTTGCCTCTCAGGGATAATTCCCAAATTTACCCAGCTGGGCTTCTTAAACATTCTGTCTCTATACTTCTATTCACCTACACTTCTTCTTCTTTTCCTTTCTTCTCTCCCCTCTTTCTTCCTTTTCTCCCTCCCTCCCTTCCTTTCTTCCTTTTATTCAACTTACATTTACTAACCTTCTATCAAAAGCTAGGCTTTATCAAAAATTCAAAGTTAATCCCAAACTTAGGATGAATTACTTTAACTTCCGTCCTAGTATGCCATCTAATATTAGCAACACAGGCTAAAAAGATGACAGGACTACAGGAATGGAGAAGGGAGAGAGCAGTGCCACGTGAAGTCACCTTGGGAAGAACGGGCCCACCTAGAGTGTGAACTCAGAGCAGAGGCCTAGAATGAGGGTGCTTTGAGCACTTGATTCCTAGAAACATAAATATGTCATGAGATGAAGTGTGCAGAATCACAGTACTTTCCAAACCTCACCGAGGATAAGTCCCGCTTCTCTTTTCTCCCCTCTTCAAGTTATGTTTTCCTTCAGTTTATCCTTGTTTCTCTCTTTCCTCATTTGAGATGGACAAAACTCAATGAATCATCTTTTTCTAAGTATGTTAGTAGAATATAGTTTCAAAAACAGAATTAAAATAACACCGTTTAACACAGGCTAGAATAGGGACTAGACATGGACGTTCTCAGGTTCTTCGTGGTGTGCCACTAGCCATTATGTGGCCCCATGTAAGTCATTAAGATTCAGGTAGTTCAAGGTTGATTGTGCTTAATTTATTCAATTGCGAAGACCACATAGTGGTGTGGCTAATTATTGTTTAGAAGGTGCTGAAGCTTCTCAGATGAAAGCCACCATGGAGGAGCAAGAGGTCATTACAGTAATCACTGCTGCAAAGTGAATTCATTTCCATAGAAGGTCACTTATGAGTTGAGTCACATTGTAGAGAAAGAGCTTAATCTTACAAGGTTGAATGGAGGGCATGGTCACATACCCTAACTACCCATGATCGGCAGGAATGAAGAGTGGTGGGCAGGTTGCAGCAGGATCTCAGAACTTCTCTTCCTCCCTGCACCTCCCTGTAAAGCTCCACTGGGCCTGAAGAACCTGTCCATCTATCTTGATAAAGCCTTCAGCTTGAAGGCACCTGCAGTCTGGCCAAGGGTGCCACACAGCATTGTGTAGGACACCCTTTGAATACTTGTGGGTCATTGCTAAGCCGATTCCTCCTCCCTCCTCCTCTTTCCTCTAAATACCATGTTCTGGTTCTGCCTGTTTCTAGGTGGTCATTTCTAGGTCAGAACTATCCTATGCCCAAACAGAAGAGGGCTTGTCTGGGTTCTCAGCAAAGATGCCAGCACTTACAGAGCTTTACTAGGCAAAGCGTGATAGATGATAGATTCTGTGTTTCACCCACACTGCTTTGTTTTCACTGCTGTTTTGCAATGGGTTGTAAACATAACAGAGTCACTGCCAGTGCTAATGATCTGTGATTTTCTAGCAAGGAGGTCAATTGCACCGGGCACCTACCCACACTGCCTACTACCCTTAAAGCAGCAGATCCCATTTATTTTGGGAATGTGAACATCTTACAAACTCACACATTCCACATTGTTCTTCCCTGCCTCCCATGCCTTCATATAAATACAGCATCCCAAGGGAAAGAAAAACTGCCTTTTCATGAATCAGAGAGGATGCTTAACGTATTTGACTTAAAAAAAGTACTTTTAAAGACGTCAAATCCCAAAGTAAGCAGCTTTTACTTCAAAAATAAGCCCACTTCGATGGGAGATCAAAGGGATGGAACTTTCCAAGTTGCAGTTGAATTTAACATTCCAAGAGTCAGGAGGGCAGATTAAAATAGGATTTTGCTTGCAATAACATTTGCGGTCTGTTCAGCATTGTTGAGTGCTTAATCTAGCCAGGAAGTCTGATTTACAGGGAGCTACAGCAGGCCTTCAGCCCCCGGAATTCATCCCAAAAGCAACATGACTTTCGTTTTGAGGAAAGGCTTTGACACAGGGACTACTGCTTTCTCCCAGTAGGGGTTACCAGCCTATTTCAAATCAGGGCCTTTCTTTTCTATAGCAGCAATTGTAAGACAATGAAAACATCCTGTTTCAGAAAAGAATTTGCAAAGAAGTACAACAGGATATTCTCAAACCTGGTGCAAAGTGAATCATCTTATCAAACACAAACTACCTGAGCTATATATTGGTACTGTTTAATTGACAACTCTAAGGTAGGTCTTTGTTTTATTATTATTGTTACATTACTATCATTATTATTATTAATTTGCCATCTTCCTCTCCAAAAAGAACTGTGAATTCTTAAGAATACAGGAAAAGAAGGGACCTCAGGGCTATTATCCCCAAGGCCTTCTGTGGGGCAGGACGATTGAGGCTGGAAGGGGCTGATTTCATCCTCTTCTGAAAGCACTGCAAAAGTGAATTCTAGGGCTTCCTTCCAGAGAAGCCTTCAGAATGACTCAGGAGTCTTTTCATCTCTTCACCGAATTTCTCTTTCCTCACTGTAATTCAATTTAATTTTAGAAAATTAGAGTATAGAGTACTGGCTGCAAACACAAAAACATACAAATGCTACTTCAAAGAGCTTTTACTCTAGGAAGGAGGGCACGCATCTTCTAGTAAGCTCTGATGTTTTTCTCTGACCTCAGTGAAAATACAACGCTTTTTATTTCCAGTCATAGGTTTGGAATGTACTATCACACAGGGACATGCCGCTCAGCCTTTTCTAACCCCCATCGTAACATGCTAAAGAGAAACTGATGAAATCGTTTGCTCAAGGACATGTCTTTTAGCAGATGGGGCCAGAGTTAAACCTTGGTAATGGCTGATTCTAAAATCTAAGATATGATTTCTCATGTGCAAATTCTAAAATCAGGAAAAGTCTGAAAACAAAGTCATATTTGTAGAACTGACACCAAAATACATATGGCAGCAAAAAGTGAGCAGATTTATACAATATTGATGACAAGCTTTCTAAGTCCTTTATTCTGAATATGTATACAATTAGTACAGAAGTATTAACGTATTTTACAAATAGATGACTGCTCTAGCCCTGCTTAGGGTCCTGTGGAAAAATATGGTGAATATACCATATTTTGAAGATTGAAAAAGAAAAGAAGAACTCTGAAGCCTGTATCTCCTCAAGGGTTTTTCTTGGGGACAGTGGACCATGATGTAATTCCTCCCAAGGAAAGTGTAGAGAGCAATAACTCTTGCCGTAGAATACAATATTTTGTAAAACATGCATCAAAATATCAGAACTGAATGTAACCTTTAAGTGAATGTAATTTAACTTCCTCCTCAATTAAAAACCTTCTTTCTGCTGCTGACAGCTGTCCATTCAGCTAACCTGATGTTCTCTATTACTGGTGGCCTATTTATTGCTGCTCAGTCAGGGTTAATAGAAAATTCAGCTGGGCTTGGTGGCTCATGCCTGTAATATCAGCACTTTGGGAGGCCGAGGCGGGCAGGTCATGAGGTCAGGAGTTCAAGATCAGCCTGACCAACATAGTGAAACCCTGTCTTTATTAAAGATACAAAAATTAGCAGGGCGTGGTGGCGGGCACCCATAATCCCAGCTACTTGGGAGGCTGAGGCGGAAGAATCTCTTGAACCCGGGAGGCAGAGGTTGCAGTGAGCCGAGATCATGCCATTGCACTCCAGCCTGGGCTATAGGAGAGAAACTCCGTCTCTAAAAAAAAAAAAAAAAAAGAAAGAAAGAAAAAGAAAAAAAGAGAAAATTCTTCCTTCAGTTTAGCCACGTTGTCCTTCTCCATAACATCCCCAATGGATTCTGTTCTGTCTCATGACCAAGCGGCAGAAACAGGCCCAAGTGTGGTCCTTGCAACGACGGTGCCACTCACAGCACCAGGCCTTCCAGCGGTTGTTTTATTTTATTTTATTTTTACTTTTTTGAGACAGAGTCTCACTCTGTTGCCCAGGCTGGAGTGCAGTGGCACTATCTTGGCTCACTGCAACCTCCGCCTCCCAGGTTCAAGCGATTCTCGTGCCTCAGCCTCCCGAGTATCTGGGATTACAGGTGCGAGCTACCACGCCCAGCTACTTTTTTAGTAGAGATGGGGTTTAGCCATGTTGCCCAGGCTAGTCTCAAACTCCTGAGCTCAGGCAATCCGCCTGCCTCGGCCTCCCAAAGTGCTAGATTACAGGCGTGAGCGACCGCGCCGGCACAGTGGTTGCTTTAAAATTTAATTATTCACTTAAAACATTTCAAAGTGACTTGAGATCTTTCATTCAAAGTTTACACCCATAAATATTTGATGCCATTGGATGGATGCTTTTAGCTTTCTGTAGCTGTGATTTTTACCCCCTAATTTTGTAGATGAAGCTTTTAAAACACTCCACTCATTTGAAATAAAAATAACAAAGGAAAGGCTGAACAAATTCAAGTGTCTTTCCTCTTTTCTGTCTCCTTGCAGGAAAAAATCATATTTCTTGGGCAGAGTGTATATACTGTATCTTTTTCAATGACTGGTTTGAGAATGGAGTTTATGATTCAGGGACCTCAGAAAGGCCGTTGTCTAGGGATAAATTAGATCTAGCTGCAAGTCTGAAGGTGTATGTTTCCAAAATAGTCTTAGGATAAATTAAGCCATTTACTTCTGAGCTGGACTTTTTTTTAATTTAAAAAAATGGATTTTAGGAAACCAAGAAAGCAACATTAACAAAGACCCTGTGAAGCCTGAGAATCTCATTTCCTGATTTCACGGTGTCTTCTAAGTGGCTGCTGGTGGCTAAGGCAGGCCTCATGTTGGCAAATGTTTCTTTCCGTCATACGTGGGTCTTTGGAGACCTGGAGATGGTGCAAAGTCGAATGGATGGCATCCATCCTGTTACTGGGAAATGCGGTCCGGTGGGGTGGGGAAGGTTCCACACACCCACATTCCCCAGGTCACCAGTTACTCTGAGATTTGAAAGCCCTAACAGGGAAAGGACAAGTCCCTGTTCACCGTGCCCCTTGGCAATTGGCTACACATGCATTTGTGTTATCTTTGAGCCCGATCCTCACCACCCCAACCTCACACGGAGACTCCATGACTCTAGACAGAAAGTATGCATTTTCCCATAGGCAAAATTTCCTGCACCAGCAAACTCAAGGTTTTCCCCTGACGTGATTTAGCCTTCCGGCCGCAGTTCCTGCTCTTCCTTCCCCTCACCCTTTCCTGCCTGTGGGGCCCGCTCAAGCTATGCAGAGCAGCTGTGCTGAGTACCACGTTGCTTTATGGTAAATTTCAAAGCCTCAGGGTACAAATTATTTATTGGTAGTTAATTTCCAATTAGTTTTATTAAATTACAGCTGATGACCTCCTTCTACCTGGATTAATTTAACAAAATGCTCATGTTTTTCAAATTATCTTCTCATTTCCACTCTAGATGAGAAATGTAATTTTCAGCTTTGGTTGAAGAAACTTGCATCATATCCTGTCTGCTTTAAGCATTTCGGCAGGTTCAGAATCCACACACACACACACACACAGGCACACACATGCATGCACACACACACACATGCACACACAGGTAAACATATACACATGCACACATGGTTCTACACACTTTTGTTTTGAATGGCCTGGTCAGCTGTGCACTTAGTCTTCCTTCTCTTTTGTCACTAACCATGCTGTGCATTACTGGGCTGAACCCACCAGCCTTACACGTTGTTGGTTCTTGATTTGTGAGAGTGAATCACATAGCTTCACTATGTCTCCAGCTTTCACACACTGGGATACTCATGCATCCACACTGGGGTACACATGCATTCAAACACTGGGATCACACACTGGGGTACTCACGCTCTCACACACTGAGATACGCACGCATCCATGCTGGGGTACTCATGCTCTCACACACTGAGATACGCACGCATTCCCGCTGGGGTACCCACGCTCTCACACACTGAGTTATGCACGCATTCCCGCTGGGGTACTCACACTCTCACACACTGAGATACGCATGCATTCCCACTGGGGTACTGACACTCTCACACACTGAGATACGCACGCATCCATGCTGGGGTACTCACGCTGTCACACACTGAGATACGCATGCATTCCCACTGGGGTACTGACACTCTCACACACTGAGATACGCACGCATTCATGCTGGGGTACTCACGCTGTCACACACTGAGATACGCATGCATTCCCGCTGGGCTATTCACACTCTCACACACTGAGATATGCACGCATTCATGCTGGGGTACTCACGCTCTCACACACTGAGATACGCACGCATTCCCGCTGGGGTCCTCACGCTCTCACACACTGAGATATGCACGCATTCATGCTGGGGTACCCACACTGTCACACATTGAGATATGCACGCATTCCTGCTGGGGTACCCACACTCTCACACACTGAGATACGCACCCATTCCCTCTGGGGTACTCACGCTCTCACACACTGAGATACGCACGCATTCCCACTGGGGTACTCACGCTCTCACACAGTGAGATACGCACGCATTCATGCTGGGGTACTGACGCTCTCACACACTGAGTTATGCACGCATTCCCGCTGGGGTACTCACGCTCTCACACACTGAGATATGCACACATTCATGCTGGGGTACCCACGCTGTCACACACTGAGATACGCATGCATTCATGCTGGGGTACTCACGCTCTCACACACTGAGATACGCACGCATTCATGCTGGGGTACCCACGCTCTCACACACTGAGATACGCACGCATTCATGCTGGGGTACTCACGCTCTCACACAGTAAGATATGCACGCATTCCCGCTGGGGTACTCATGCTCTCACACACTGAGATACGCACGCATTCATGCTGGGGTACCAACGCTCTCACACACTGAGATACGCACGCATTCCCGCTGGGGTACTCATGCTCTCACACACTGAGATATGCACGCATACATGCTGGGGTACTCACGCTCTCACACACTGAGATACGCACGCATTCCCGCTGGGGTACTGATGCTCTCACACACTGAGATATGCACGCATTCATGCTGGGGTACCCACGCTCTCACACACTGAGATACGCACGCATTCCCGCTGGGATACTGACGCTCTCACACACTGAGATACGCACGCATTCATGCTGGGGTACCCACGCTCTCACACACTGAGATACGCATGCATTCCCGCTGGGGTACGCACGCTCTCACAAACTGAGATACGCACACATTCCCGCTGGGGTACTGACGCTCTCACACACTGAGATACGCACGCGTTCATGCTGGGGTACCCACGCTCTCACACACTGAGATATGCATGCATTCATGCTGGGGTACCCACGCTCTCACACACTGAGATACGCCCACATTCATGCTGGGATACTGACGCTCCCACACACTGTTATGCACGCATTCCCGCTGGGGTACTCACGCTCTCACACACTGAGATATGCACGCATTCATGCTAGGGTACCCACGCTGTCACACACTGAGATCTGCACGCATTCATGCTGGGGTACCGACGCTCTCACACACTGAGATATGCACACATTCATGCTGGGGTACCCACGCTGTCACACACTGAGATCTGCACACATTCATGCTGGGGTACCCACGCTCTCACACACTGAGATATGCACGCATTCATGCTGGGGTACCCACGCTGTCACACATTGAGATATGCACGCATTCATGCTGGGGTACCCACGCTCTCACACACTGAGGTACGCACGCATTCCCTCTGGGGTACTCACGCTCTCACACACTGAGATACGCACGCATTCCCATTGGGGTACTCACGATCTCACACAGTGAGATACGCACGCATTCATGCTGGGGTACTGACGCTCTCACACACTGAGATACGCACGCTTTCCCGCTGGGATACTCACGCTCTCACACACTGAGATACGCACGCATTCATGCTGGGGTACTCACGCTCTCACACACTGAGATACGCACGCATTCCCGCTGGGGTACTCACACTCTCACACACTGAGATATGCACACATTCCCGCTGGGGTACTCATGCTCTCAAACACTGAGATATGCACGCATTCATACTGGGGTACCCATGCTCTCACACACTGAGATACGCACGCATTCCCGCTGGGGTACCCACGCTCTCACACACTGAGATATGCACACATTCCCGCTGGGGTACTCATGCTCTCAAACACTGAGATACGCACGCATTCATGCTGGGGTACCCACGCTCTCACACACTGAGATACGCACGCATTCATGCTGGGGTACTCATGGTCTCGCACACTGAAATACACACGCATTCCCGCTGGGGTACTCATGCTCTCGCACACTAAGATATGCACGCATTCCCGCTGGGGTACTCACGCTATCACACACTGAGATATGCACGCATTCATTCTGGGGTACTCACGCTCTCACACACTGAGATACGCACGCATTCATGCTGGGGTACTCATGCTCTCGCCCACTGAAATACACACGCATTACCGCTGGGGTACTCATGCTCTCGCATACTGAGATATGCATGCATCCACACTTCAATACTCATGCGCTCACAAACTGGGATAGTCATGATCTTTTCTGGCTGAACCGGCACCCATCTGGACAGGGTTACCTGCACCCATCTGGGGGTTGACAGCCCTTCCTGTGGCTTTCTCTGCTCCATCCTGCACTCCTGTGGACATTTGGCTTCCAGCTGGCCTGCATGCTGAGGAAACTGTCCTCCCTTGACCTAACTTCCAGACAGAACCACCTCTACTATTCCCATCTGATTTATGTCAAAATTCACACTTGTGCCTGGCGCGGTGGCTCACGCCTGTAATCCCAGCACTTTGGGAGGCCAAGGCAGGTGGATCGCGAGGACAGGAGATCAAGACCATCCTCGCTGACATGGTGAAACCCCGTCTCTACTAAAAATCCAAAAAAAAATTAGCTGGGCATGGTGGCGAGCACCTGTAGTCCCAGGTACTCGGGAGGCTGAGGCAGGAGAATGGCGTGAACCCAGGAGGCGGAGCTTGCAGTGAGCCAAGATCACACCACTTCACTCCAGCCTGGGTAACAGAGTGAGACTCCATCTCAAAAAAAAAAAGAAAAGAATTCACACTTGTAATCCCAGTACTTTAAGAGGCAGAGGCAGGCACGTCACTTGAGGCCAGAAGTTCAAGATTAGCCTGGCCAACTTGCTGAAAACCCATCTCCACTAAAAATAAAAAAAAAAAAATTAGCTGGATGTGGTGACACGTCCCTGTAGTCCCAGCTACTCAGACAGAGTCTAAGACATGAGAATCCCTTGAACCCAGGAGGCAGAGGTTGCAGGGAGCTTAGATTGTGTCACTGCACTCCAGCCTGGGCAACACAGCAAGGCTCTGTTTCAAAAAAAAAAAAAAGTTCATGTCCATGCCAACTTGTTTGTTACTCTTCCCTCTATAGAAATGCTCAAAGAATGCCCTGAATGAGGACCTTGCGGCCTGTACATAGACCAGAAACATCCCCAGAGACCAAATAGCTCCTTCTCTTAGCACTTGATCATATTTTCTTTTCTTTTCTTTTTTGTAGACATGGGGATCTCACTATGTGGCCTAGACTGGTCTCAAACTCCTGGGCTCAGCGATCCTCCCACCTCAGCCTCCCAAAGTGCTGGGATTGGTGTGAGTCACTGTGCCCAGCCCACACATGGTAATTTTTAATGGACGAATAGGAGGGATCTATTACAGAGAAATCAAATGGCGACGTGTTTAAATTCCCGACACATGAAAAATGGGAAAAGATTTTCCTATGCTCTTGTCATTTCTTCTGGCGTCTTATCAGATGATGCATCCTCACTTTCCTAGAGCTGTCTCCTCCTCTTCCCTGCCCTGATCCCAGCTTGACCCAGGAGTCAGAAACACTTGGATGTGTACCTCATTTCTGACATTCAAAAATCCTTCGGTTTCCCAGTTGCCCTTCATCACATGGGGTGATTGTAGTATTTATTTCACAGAGGTGTTGAGTATCTTCTACTTCATGGTGATAGACTATCTGATCAAGTGGAGATACTGCATTAGGTTTCATAAAAATTAGGCAGGAGACTTAGAAAACTTCAACAATGCTCTTCCGGTTCTAATTTCCCATTCTATTGGACATTGATAGAAATCTGTTGTAGCACATACTCATTATTTCCGGAGAGAATAAAGAAATGTTCACTGAAAGGGAGGTATATGATGACGTCTTGGTTATTCACAGGTAATAGCTTCAGATTCACAAACACTCAGGCCCTGGCTCTGCTTACTTAGCTGATGATAAGTTAACTGTTGTTGTATCCAGTGATTACATAAACTGGAAAGGGCCCTATTATGATCAAATATACCCAGAGACATGAGTTGAATGTGATTTTAATATTCTGGCATAATATTACATTTCTGAATTTGAAAGTACCGTGCATGATTACACCACTTCACTTTTATTGAAGAAGGATAATTTGCTTCAGATTAAAGTCCAAACAATGAAATTGCTTATGGAAAAATGACCTTTCTCGTCTTTACATGTACCAAGTAGATTCTCAGGGAAGCCAGCCCAGCAGGGATTCCATTTAACTAACTGAATCCTCAAGACACGCAGAAACCATTATTTACTTTTATTACTCTAAACCAACTGATTTCATCACTAGAAGCCCATGAGTTTTCATAAAGTCACCTTGTTGAGATACTCTTTGTTGTACCCAAAATGGCAACATTAGCTTTTTGATTTTTTTCAACTCTAAGGTTATATATTTTCACCTTAAAAATTCATAGCAAGATCCTTGTTGTGATGTAATCTCATCAACATCTGATACAATCAGGATGTAGAACCTGGTTTAAAATCTTGTTCCCACACCTCAGAGAAGGCTGAACATTCATGGTGTGTGATGATATATTTTGGTTTGTTATTTGCTTCTTTCTGGAGTGAGGGGGTCTTATGTATTTTTATATATTCTTAAATATGCCTATTAAGATGCATCATGGTTAGGACAGTGTCATTAACTTCTAAAGAATCATCTGGACTAATATGTATAGCTAATACACATAAACAGTATAATAAAGGAATATAAAGATGAAAATAATAGAATTTGTCTAAATGAGTATTCTACAATTAGCTGCCTCCAAAGCAAGAATATATAGCAAGAAACATGCTTGCAACATCTTTTGCTTCTATGAGCTTATGGATCTAGGGTCTTAAACAAGACTTGAGGCATCGGTACCTTTATTCTACAGATGGTGCATGACAAGTCTGGCTCTAGGTGAAGATGAAAGCACATACCTCCTCTGTTTTTTTTTTTAATTATATGACATTAATTCTTGTCAAGATCTGTGAAGGAGCTGAGACTTTGCCCCACTTGTACACTAACTTGGTTAGCCTGATGCCATTTCATGGTTTCTGGTAGAGGATGTGAGGTTCCCAGGTTGCAGGTAAAGGACAATTTATTATCACAGCAATTACAGTTGTCTAGATATCATTTCTATTATGCTGGTTCCCAAAACTCAGTTCCCACAAGGCAGCACAAAGAGCCAAGTGATACTTGCATACACACTGGGCTACATCACAAGGGTGGAAACCAAAGATGATGGGTCCCAGATCTTTTATGGCATGATCCTCTAGGGGGAGGCAGGATCCATATTCCCAGGCTGCAAGTGGATTGGTCCTTTTCTCTGAAGGAGACATGATCATTGTCACCCAAGTTGTTCACTCTACAAACTTCCTTGAGAAGATTGTCCAAAGCAAAGGTAACCTGTGCCTCTGCTCACAGGACAGGCAGAAACCCAAGAGACCCATGGACAATGGGCTCCACTGTACCACATCACAACCTGTAGGTACAATAGGAAACCCAAGAGGCCCATGAACAATGGTCTCCCAACACTGTACCACATCACAACCTGTAGGTACAATAGGAAACCCAAGAGGCCCATGAACAATGGTCTCCCAACACTGTACCACATCGTAACTTATAGCTACAATAAGAAACCCAAGAGACCCATGAACAATGGTCTCACAACACCATATCACATCACAACTTGTAGGTACAATAAGAAACCCAAGAGACCACGAACAATGGTCTCCCAACACCGTAGCACATCGCAACTTGTAGGTACAATAAGAAACCCAGGAGACACCATACCACATCACAACCTGTAGGTACAATAGGAAACCCAAGAGACCCATGAACAATGGTCTCCCAACACCGTACCACATCACAATATGTAGCTACAATAAGCTACTTGCACCATAATGAGGATGACTTTCCTATCATTATTTCTGTCTTTAGGCATGTTTGTATTTTAAAATCAGCATGGCTAGTTTATAGAATAAGAGAGTTTGTGTTGTTGCAGAAATCTCAAGCTTTAATCAATAAGTTAATACTGAGTCTAGAGGCCAGGAGGACTTGCCTATATTATGCTTCCCATATTAGGAAATTGCTGCAGGTAGAGACTACATTTTCCAGCCTGCCTTGCTGTCAGAAGCATCCACACCAGCAAGTTTTGGTAATGAATGAAAGCAGAAGGGAAGTGAGTTACTTCCAAACTGGATCCAGCAGGACTTTCCATGAACCTCTTCTCCATATTCTTTAGATGATTATAGGGTGAACTTAGAAGGTAAATGGGGAAGATTGCAGGGTCTTTGTGTAGATGTTGATCATTCAGTAATTTATTCACTTACATAATTCTGTTATGTTACTTTTTTGTGTTTAAGCTACCATGCATTTTTGGGTCTGCTCATTGTAGGAACCCGCCTGCTGTAACTTATATATATAAGATGCACTGGTTAGGAGTGATCCTGGAGGTATGGGGCCCAGTCTCCCAGCCACCCAGCATCTTCATTTAGTCCTTCATAATCTAGATAATGTGTTTTATTAGAGATTTCAGAATCCTTGTTTTTTTTATAGCAGAATGTAAAGTAAATTAAAATAAAAAATACAAGAGGGTAAAGGGAACAGAAATGCTAAGTTACTCACATACCTTCCATATGCTTGGGGATATATAAGTTATGCCATCCTAAGATTGATGACTTGCCTAGATATGCCTACTGTTAAAGAAAAGGTTCTGCTGACCCTTAAGATGGCATGGAAGATCTTATTCAACGGGACTACTGCAATGACTAGGAAAGACACATTGGGTTCAACTTCAAATACAAAAATGAAAAGTGAGAATTTACAGCCTTGGAGCAGGGTCGGGGGTCAGTGAATGGAAAATTACTAAGAGGGAACATCGGGGGAAAAAATTCTGGATAAATGGGCTGGACAGGAGTCTTGTTGAAGGCAGTTCAATGTGGGCAGATGTCAACTGAGGGATGCTGAGGAGTGAGGGTTGTGATCAGCTACGAAGAGTGATTGGAATCAAGGGTAGGGGACTCTCATTGAACTGACTTGAACAAGATTCTTGTTCTTAAGAAATAGGCCCAAGGACAGGCCTTGAAAGACAGCTTAGGGGAGGTTGACCAAGGTCAGGTCAGGGAGAGAGCCTTTTCAGTATTCAGGGTCTAGATTAGACAGTTGGATGGGCATCTTCATTGTTCAGACAGCACTATCTTTGTTTGCTAGTGTATTAAAAATAAGACATTTAACAAAACTCAAAATAATAATTTAAAAAGTTGGTAGCCACTTGGTTTGTGTATCGTTTTATGT
The DNA here is from genome assembly GCF_000001405.40 of Homo sapiens. Classification (NCBI taxonomy): domain Eukaryota; kingdom Metazoa; phylum Chordata; class Mammalia; order Primates; family Hominidae; genus Homo; species Homo sapiens. Next base: position 3,464,035 of record NC_000010.11, read on the forward strand.
TTAGTGATGATCCTAAGTCTTAGCTTACAAATGTCCATGGCTAAGAAGAATTCCATTAAGGGGGAGATGCCAGTGCACCCACTGGGCACTCATTAATTAGGAAATAAATGCATAACTAACTAAATATGGTTTGCAATGCCATATATTGATAGAAATAGGGGTCGGCAAACTTTATCTGTAAGGAGCCAAAAAGTAAATGCTCTGGAGGCCGGGTGGTCTCCACGGTAACTGCTCACTGGTGTTGTGTAGATGGAGCAGCCACTGAGACATGAGCGTGGCTGTCTTCCCATAAAACATGACCAATCATGAATCTAAAGAGTCTGTATGCTTGGGTGTGTAGGAGTCTTGTGTTTCACTAGAAAACTGCATGATCTAGAGCACACCTTTCAGGGTTATCAGAATTCAACCCTGTGCATTAATTTTGCATTCCTATGCAATTCTTTGTAAATTATAGGCAGCTTACACAAACTATAGGACAGATGTGCAAATTCTGTACTTGCTGATAGTGGTTTCATTGACCTCCTCTCCGTCCAATTTCATGCTTATTTGCAGTTGATCTCAATGTTCCTTTGCTGCATATATTTTATGTGTCATTTTGATTTTTTCTTTGAATCGGTTATAACATCTGTTTAATTCCCTCACATCCTACGAGTTAAATATATTCTTAAACATCTATTTATTTATATGTGTATGAGAATGATAATTTTACCTTTTCTAAAAACTACTTTTTAACTGTGCGTATCTGCATGTGTTTAATGATCAGAAGTGATCAGTAGTTTGGAATTAACCTTCCTTTCGGATTAAATCAGTCTGGTATTTCACAGGTGTGTGTGTGTGTGTAAGGCAGTTGTTCCTGTCCACAATTTCGCAAGTAGGTGGTGACAGCATTGTGTTTACATAGCATTTTCAAAAGTGCTTTCCTAACCATAATCTCATGGGCTTCTTTCAACGCCTCTCTGGGCTTTGTTAGGACAAATGATTATCAAAATTTTATCGAGAAGGAAAGGGTGACACATAGAAATGTAAGTGGTTAGAGGAAGAACAAAACAGGTTATAAAAGGATTTCCACGTCTTGCTGGAGAAAAAGCCTTATTGAACATATTAAGCCTGGTAACCACCCACTCCCCTTTCTGTGTGTGAATTCTGACTGAGCGAGATGAACACTCTTCCCAACTTCTCTGTGCTAGCCTGGGATTAGCCTAACTGCGCTGCCTTTTCTGGTGCAGGCTGAAGAGCGTGTCACAGTTGAACTCTGGAGTTTACTTGGGTTGGTCTGTGTTTATGACAAGTATGGAACTCATTCAAAAGTTACCAAAGCTGTACTTTTCTCATTCTCTGAGTCTCCCTCATCAGCAGGGTGAAGTCCTCATATTATGGTCTTATAACTGTCAACCTGATGAGCATTTTTTAAAGTGATCTCTGGACAAACATTCTCCTGGCTGTGAGGACAAGCTGCAGTTCGGACCAGCCTCCTGTGGAAGCAAACATGCAGTCACTGGCCTCCAGAGTTTGGCTTAACACAGCTCTTCCTCTTCCTGAAAGTTACAGCAGGAAGCCGTTTTCAACGTTGCTTGTAAAACTGTAACTTCAGCATTACACAAACTTCAGGAATGAAAGCTCACCTGCAGGAACATGAGTGAATATAAACAGGGGTGCCTAGAACCACTGCTCACAGCTAGAAGCCTGCGCGGGAGATGGGGGTGACAGGATAGGAACGGGGCGGCTCAGGCCCCAGCCATGGCACCATCACAGAGTGCGTGCCTCCCTCCTGTTTTCATGCACGTGGCACATGCCGGAGGCAGCCAGGTCACCAAGTGGTCAGAGCTTTCCTCTGCTTTACACCACGTAGGACCCATCTGAGCATTTTCCGGAATAATTATAGGGTGATTTTTCAGGGAACGTGGGCAGTGTTTCTATTTTCAACTTTAAGTTTCATGGAGGAAATTTTTAGAGTAAATGGTGTTATGTATATGGCTATATTTCAGCTAAAATCTGTATTCAGTTGGTTTAAGATTTGAAGGAAAGAATAAGGAGATTATAGATTGGAGACTGGCTTCTCAGGAAGTTTCTACAGAATCTAATCTTATCTCATTGCTTGTATTTGTACTTCTCTATTCAGAAACAACTAACAATATAGAGTTTTTCATCTTTTCGGAACCATTAGAGTTTGTTCTTTTTTTTTTTTTTTTTTTTTTTTTTTTTTTTTTGTGAGACGGAGTCTCGCTCCGTTGCCCAGGCTGGAATGCAGTGGCCTGATCTCAGCTCACTGCAAGCTCCACCTCCCGTGTTTATGCCATTCTCCTGCCTCAGCCTTCCGAGTAGCTGGGACTACAGGCGCCCACCACCATGCTTAGCTAATTTTTTGTATTTTTAGTAAAGACGGGGTTTCACCGTGTTAGCCAGGATGGTCTCGATCTCCTGACGTCATGATCTGCCTGCCTCGGCCTCCCAAAGTGCTGGAGGCCGTGAGCCACCAGCTACAGGCGTGAGCCACCGTGCCTGACCTCGACTTTGTTCTTAAAAATGTAAAAATATCTATTTTTTTGCAGTTTTCCCTTTTGGCAATAAAAGTATCATTATATATTAGGTCTTTAATATATATAATGCCATTAATAGATATAGACTTTATTAATGAATGTTAGAATATATAATGTGTGTGTATATTATATATTCTAACATTCAGTGTATATATATATATATACACACACACACATTATATATTCTAACATTCAGTGTATGTATATAAATATACACACACATTGTATACTCTAACAGTCATTAATAAAGTCTATATAGAATGAAAATTATGACATTTAGGTTCTTACTGACTGAAGCCATTTTAAATATTAGATGTTAGTGTAACTTTTTTGATTGTTCACAGACTATTCAATGTCTGAAGTTGTTTTACTATCTTCAAGGGCAAAATAAAATTCTTTGTACACTTGCTTGAGTTTTCTTTGTTTACCTTGAGGATGAGCTGGTGAAGACTTAAAGGCAAATTGAATGCATCTGGTTTCAGATCCAATGAGTGCAGCTCACAGAGGGTTTTCTTAAAAAGGCATTTGTATCTTTTGTAGAAGCACATTGGAGATCTTTCACAAGCCCTTGAAGAAGTCAGGAATAAAAAGTTGCAACTTCCCCGGGAGAGAGCAACTCTGACCCTAAAAGTTAACGTTACATCCCAAACGTGGAAAACAGGAAATTTCAGATGGGTTTTGGCAAAACACATAGTGCCACTCCTTCTCTTGGTGTGCTAAGTTTTCCCAAGTCTGTGTACTCCTTATAGCGCAGGAATTCTCCAAAGGCCAACATTTCAGTTCCAGAAAGAGAAATAGAATCAACGGCAACAACAACAAAACAACTTTACCAAGAGCAAGCAAATTGCCTCGTCTTGGTGACTCCTCTGCAAAACTGCAAATTCCACCCCCGTGCGGCGGGGCAGGACATCTCCCAGACAGCTGGGGACACCCTTTCCAGCGGGAGCGGGAGGCGCTGTTGTTCAGGAAAGGAAGTTGTGTGTTTGTGAATGAGCGCACTTTGTGGTTCATGTGTTTGGGCAGGACAAACTACACCACAGGGTTGGGCGGGGCTGTGTGTGCTGGGCACGTACGCTTCTTTGTTTTGTCAGCTTCCCGAGAGATCAGGGAGAGCATAGATATATCCCTTTTTCAGTTCAGAGGAAAACACCTAACAACAACCTCAACAAACACAACAACAACAGCAAAAGGACGAAGCGTGAGCCAGAAATTCCATCTGCGTGAGTATGCTGGGAAAAGCCTGGCGAGGAATCCTGGTTGGTGAAAAACAGATTCGGTGCTTATTGTTCTGCTCTGTAAGTCACCAAAGAAATGTGGGCGTGTGCTGCTGGAAAGAAAATAGACTTCCACAAAAAGTATGAATCACTTTTGTTAATTGTCAAAGAAAATATATATTAAGTGATTACTTAGCTTCTGGAATTAAAACAAAATGAAAACAAACAAGCATCCTCTGTCTCTCAATACTTTTAAAACTGAAGATGGCAAAATAAGGCAAACCAAAGCCACCAGTGCATCTTGGCATGGTCAGCAGAGGAGGGCAAGTTTTCTAAAACCTTAAAAAGTATCTTGGTGTCATGAGCCTTAGAGTTATTTGAAATGCAGTTATGTGAAACCCCCCTCTATCTTTCATGAAGCCTCAGAAAGGAGTCCAGGGAGCCGGGGTTTGTGGAAGTTAGAATTTATCTGATGATCCAGAGCTGCTTCTCCCCCACGATAGGTCACCGTGAATCGGAGTATTTTGTGGTTGGCCTTTTCAAACAGGCAAGCATTTGGTGGTTTGTCTTTTGTTTAATTTGTTACCAGATCACACAAGATATTTTTCAACAGAATTTCAGAAAGCATCTTGGGAAATCCACAAAAATGGGCTGAGTCATCTAACCAGAAACAGTCCACACCACATCTGACTCTGAATGCCTGGCTTTTCTTTCTTTGGGGAGAAAGTTCTCAGCATCAGTTGGATGAAAGGGCAGGGAAGTCGAGATTGATTTGGGGTTTACAGGGACATAAAGAGAAATTACCAGCCCCAGACTCTGAAAATTTTTAAGGTATCAGAAAAGTGCTTGTGATAGAACCTGATGATTGCTTTTGGTGCCTGGGATGGTTATTAAGGGTCAAAATAATGTGGAGATGCCATCATGGAAAAGTGACTGTGATATGAATCTGTTGCTAAAAATGATGATTTCAAGGAGCAGAATGACATTCCATCCACCTATGACACGCACTTCACATTTGGTTAAGGGTTAGGCCAAGAGCTTTTTTTCTTTCTTTCTTTCTTTCTTTCTTTCTTTCTTTCTTTCTTTCTTTCTTTCTTTCTTTCTCTCTCTCTCTCTCTTTCTTTCTTTCTTTCTTTCTCCCTCTCTCTCTCTCTCTCTCCTCTTTCTTTCTTTCTTTCTTTCTTTTTGTACAGCTCTTGCAGCTCTAAACCCACAAAGCAGGTTAGGTTTCCTCTGGCCTGTGACCTAATCTTTAGTATTAGAGGAGGCACTGATTTGTTTGCTCTGATGTAAGCCCAAAGGGAATTTGGCTTCTTGATTTATAACAGGATTGGGTTTCAGGCCTCTAACAGTTAAAACCGGTCTTCAGCAGAGACTCAAGCAGGGGGAATGAAAGTTACACAGTGCGTGGATTAGTCCTTTGGTGTTTTTGACACAGTTTCTTTTCATAGGAGAATCTTATTTCAAATAGGGAGGCGTTTCCCCGTTTTAGAAAATGCTTGTGAAATGCATGACTCATTACGCCCTTGCAAAGAGCCAAAAAAAGTTCTGCAGAGTCTAGGACAGGACTAAACCGCAGCTAAGTCTAATATTTCAGTCTTGCTGAAACAGCTGTTCCCACTCGGGTCCGAGAGCGGGTGGGAGTAGAGATGGTGTGTGGGGGGGTCCCCACTTCAGTTCCCCAAAGCATCAGCTGCTCCCTGTCTTGAACAGAATCAGCTCCAACAGGGAGAGGCTTGGACATGCCCGCCATTGACGCTGCCAGGCCTCGAACTCTCCTGAGAGTTGGATTTTTCCCAGTCTGTGCTATCTCACTCTTATTTGAGGAATTTGAGTCAGAGCAAAATGTGGGCAGAGAAGGAGAAGGAACACCAACACCTCAATTATTGAGGGAAAAGACGTGCAGGTTTTCTGTAGCAGTGAACCTGAAGGAAGACACTGCTTTGTGTCTGGCTCCCAAAGAAAAAGGCCAAGTTGATCTTTCCTGTGAAACAGCTGAAGGTACCACCTTGAAAACTGGATGTTTTCCCAACTGTGGGCCAAGTTTCAGCTTGAATACAGTCATCCTCGGTATCCCTGGGGAACTGGCTCCAGCACACCCTCCCCACAACATCAGTGACTACCCAAATCCACAAAATGGTGTAGTGTTTGCATATAACTGATGCACATCCTCCTGTTTGCTTTAAATCATCTCTACATACCTTATATCTAATACAAGATAAATGCCATTGAAATAGTCGTTGTACTGTATTTTTTGTTTGTATTATTGTTATTGTTTTTTTTTTTTTTTTGAGATGGAGTCTTACTCTGTCACCCAGGCTGGAGTGCAGTGGTGCCATCTCAGCGCACTACAGCTTCCGCCTCCTGTGTTCAGGCCATTCTTGTGCCTCAGCCTCCCAAGTAGCTGGGACTACAGGCATGCACAACCATGCCGGGCTAATTTTTGTACTTTTAGTAGAGACAGGGTTTTACCATGTTGACCAGGCTGGTGTCGAACTCCTGACCTCAAGTGATCCACCTGCCTTTGCATTCCAAAGTGCTGGGATTACAGACTTGAGTCACCGTGCCGGGCCGTGTTATTTTGTATAGTTTGTTCCATCTGCGGTTGGTTGAATCCACTGATGTGGGACTCCAGTATATGGGCAGCGGGCTGTGTGTCACTGGCCCCGTGTTAATAGGTACCTGTGTTTTCCTATTTGCTGTTATGTCAACAAAAACCGAGAACAATCCCTTCTAAGGGTGACTGCTTTTAGCTTCAAAATCAAGAACACTAAAACTCCAGCATCCATAGGAAAGTATCGCACGGACTTAACCATATCATCTTCCTGAGAAATGGATGGAGGCCAGGTGTGCTACCCGTCACTGAGCTTTATCCGGGGAGAGAGAACCAGGTGAGTATTGCCAGGTGGTGTTGGAAAGCAACAGCAGCCATCCCCATACGCGGGAGAGGGTCCCAACCACATGTGGGGAGATGATTTAAAGGAAACAGGAGGATGTGCATCAGTTATATGCAAACACTACACCATTTTGTGGATTTGGGTAGTCACTGATGTTGTGGGGAGAGAGAGAGAGAGAGAGAGAGAGAGAGGGAGAGGGAGAGAGAGAGAGAGAGAGAGAGAGAGAGAGAGAGAGAGAGAGAGAGAGAGAGAGAGAGAGAGAGGCTTCCGTCCTCAGACCCAGAACAAGACTTCAGCATCTCAATAGCAGCAGGGAGTGGAACCTACTATTACTTTTTTTTTTTTTTCCTGATACAAACCATGCACTGAGTTTCAAAAGGGAATTTTTGGCTAGGTGTGGTGGCTCCCTCCTGTAATCCCAGCACTTTGGGAGGCCAAGGTGGGTGGATCACTCGAGGTCAGGAGTTCGAGACCTGCCTGGCCAACATGGTGAAACCCCGTCTGTACTAAAAATACAAAAATTAGCTGGGCAGGGTGGCGAGCACCTGTAATCCAAGCTACTCGGGAATCTGAAGCAGGAGAATCACTTGAACCCGGGAGGCGGAGGTTGCAGTGAGCCGAGATCACATCACCTCACTCTAACCTGGGTAACAGGCTCTGTCTCAAAAAAAAAAAAAAAAAGGGAAATTTTTATTTATTGTTTACTAAGAAACACCATAAAATATTTTTGGAGTGTGTGTGTGTATGTGTGTGTAGTCAAAAACCACAGAATAATTGACACATGCCTTTTTGACAATCTTGTCTCTTAACACTGAGTTCAAAACACACTGACGCTGTCCTGAGAGGCCACCGACAGAGAGAAGCAGGGCCCCCTCTATAGAAGCCGTTTCTTGGGAAAGGTCCAGATTTCTCCCAGCACTTCCTCCTCTATTCTCTCTGTTATTCATGCTACATCGGACATCCCATGCTGCGACTTCCCCCTCTTCAAATGGATTTTCAACAAAGTCTCTCTTTGTTAATCAAAACTTTTTTGATTACTTTCTTTATCACTTTTTTTTTTAAATTCAGAAGTATTTTAGTGGCTTGGCTCCCTGCCGTCTCTCAAAACTGTAGTGAGGTGTGAGGAGGGCAGGAGCCGACCCCGTCTGCGTCTGCACAGACCATCGTTCTGTGGGTATCAAAGCTGCCATGTCCCTCCCAAGAGACACAGCAACATTTTGTGCTACAATAGTTTACTGCATTTAGTATCCATTCATTATTGAAAAACAGATTTTTCTCATAGACTTGGACCTACCCCTCCCAGGAGAACGTTATGCAGAATTTTTCTGCATAACGATGTGGCTTATCTTTGATGTGGATAGAAGCCACTGGGCATCTCTGTTTGGGGCATTTCTTCTCTCCAACCTGCAGCGGGGGCAGCGGGTCATTCCAGAGAGGACACAGCAGTGACGACGAGACAAAATCGGCGTTTGGGTTTTCCAGGCCATCCATATATTTGGCCCAAGTAGATTTACTAACCCACCACTGTCACTGAAAATCCTCAACAGCACATTTTTGCTGGGGACAGAGAGGGGGAAGGATGGTCTGAATAAGGAAATGGCATGTGTGCTCACTGTGCTTACGCTTGGTAGAACAAGAATGTCAAGAAAGGAAGGCCTGGCGGGTGAGAACAGGACCCATTGTGCTGGAATCCTGTTGGCGGCAAACAGAGAGTTTCAGTCTGTGGTGAATTCACACTGTTACTAGGCATGGAAAACAATGAGAGTTTTATGAGACTTGTTTACACATCTAGAAAATACATCTAGCTCCTTGAAGCAGAGTGTGGTGGCAAACGTCTGACATTCAGTTACTATGCACAAAAGAGTTCCTTCCCACAAGGCCGGCAGGTTCGGGAAGTCCTCCCGTATTCGAGGTACCAGGAGCCATAAATCCATATTTAATTAGCTTTGAACGAAATGCAAGAGATGATAGGCTCTTTGTGCTAAAAATGAAACCAAAACCGACCGGGTTGATTTATGTCTAATTCAGAGTTGTAATTTAATTGAAACGACATCCTGAATTTTAAAAATCTCTCTGGCAAAGCCCATCCCACGTGAAATTCAAATTCAGAGTCTTAGGGCTTAGGAATCTCCATGTTCTGATTCTCTGCCACATTGCTTAAGATGTTTACTCAACCCTCTTCAACAGCTTACTTCCTTAACTGGCTTGCTTCTCATTAAATCACTGCATTTCTTAGTGACTCAAAGTTATGAAGCTCAAGTTTGAATACAAACACGTCGGGATTTCTTAATGGATAACTTATTTGACAGTCCTTAGCTCTCCTCTTCACCAGGCACATGTCTATGGGAGGAGGCTGACGCTGAGTTTAAATGTTGGCTGCTGAGGCAAAGGTAGAAATGAAAAGGTCAAGAAAACGATGAATTTAGAAACTTGTGCCAGATGGTGAAATAGAGATCTCAATAGATAGTGAAATCTTAATAGTACACCTGGAAAATATAGATTCACAATCAAAACCTTAGCTGTTATGCAAGTTTTACAAACAAAAAAAGAGGAATTCCTCTAAATGAAAGCTTCTATCTTCTTTTACTCTAGTAAGAGCAAAAAAAGAATGTAAAAGTTATGAAATAATACTATTTCAATAGCAGGTTAATGAATTATTTTTGAATAACTTGAAATATATGCGTGCACTCATACATGATCAACTTCCTTCGGGCAGGTTGCCCAAATGCTTTATTCTTGCTAAGGTGTTCATTACACACAACACCATGTGGCCACCCTGGGCGTGGGCATCCCTGCAAACCACAGCACAAGGTTCTCTGGGCCCCTTCGCAGTCGACCTCAAAGCAGCCACTCTTGGTGTTCTTTACGTCGACTTTTTTTTGCACAGCAGGATGTCTTGAGGGTCCCCAGGCCATTGTGTGCATGAAGTGTGCTCGTCCCTCTGCAGGTGACACCCCGGCTTGTGGTGAAACCCTGGCTAGTGGATATGCCGGCATCCCCTGGGATTCCAGTCCATCAAGGTGGCCACCGGCCACCAGGGCTTGTAAGAAACCCTGCTGGGGCTTCTCACCTCCTCACCTCCTACTCACCCCACCAGGCATGGGATGCAGCTTGCGTCTCTTCCTTTGGGGGCAGGCTCCTTACCTTCTAGACTCTGGCTCATTTAGGTTCTTCTGGGTCCTCAGTGTTCCCACAGGCTGTAGGAGCCTATGATATTAGAGACGATCTGACTGTTCCTCACTGTTAGGCTGTGTATGTCTCTCTCTATGATGTTTTATATCCTAACCAGAAGGAAAAATCTCCAAATACCTGAATATATACATTTTATATATCTCCTTTGGAAAAAAAAAAGCAATGGCCAGGTGAGGTGACTCATGCCTGTAATTCCAGCACTTTGGGAGGCCAAGGCAGGTGGATCAGTTGAGGTCTAGAGTTCAAGACCAGCCTGGCCAACATGGCGAAACCCCGTCTCTAAAATAATAAACAAATAAATAAATAAATAAATAATAAGCCAGGTCTGGTGGCAAGTGCCTGTAGTCCCAGATACTTAAGAGGCTGAGGTGAGAAGATCGCTTGAGCCTGGGAGGCGGAGGTTGCAGTGAGCCAAGATCAGGCTGCTGCACTCCAGCCTGGGTGACAGAGCGAGACTCCATTTCAAGAAAAAAAAAAAAAGAAAAGCAGAGAATTTATTTATATTTATTTATTTCCCTCCCAGCTATTGAAGGTTCCCAGACCTGCAGGTGGGCCCTGGAGTTGAGGGTCCCCCACAGTCCGCCCCTCCCCGGCTTCTGTCCAGCAACCCTCTTTCTTCACTGAGCCCTGTCCCCTGTCCCCAGCACATGCTTCACTGAGCGCTGTCCCCTGTCCCCGGCACACGGGTTCCCTGACTTGCTGTGTGTTACCTTCTGAAGGTAAATATTTTGTACCACCCTGGAGTAGGTTGACTCTTGTTTTGTAGAATCAGGAAGATTTAGCGATAACTGGAGACTATCTGATATAAATAAAATTTTACTGTATACATGAGAAATAGAAGTCCCGGTATTTTTAACCTATAGACTGTATAGTATAACTATTTTAATTTAGACTGAAGTGTTTTTAGCACCCTCCGGCAACTTAGAAATATTCATTTAGTCCTTTCTTTATCAAGTAAGAAAATGAACTGCTGCTATAACAACAGTCTTTATTAACTGACCACAGAATAGACAAAATAAAAACTGGAAACATCACCCACCTTTTCTGCTTTTTACAAATTCTATTTAGGAAGCATGAGTTACCTCTATTATTAAATACAATGAGCATTGACAGCAAAGCAATTATAATTTTAAATCAAAATTTTAGGAGAAGCGAAGTTTGGGTTCCTCAGCTATTTAGTTTTCAACACTTGGGGAGTAGTCATTTAGGTAAGTATTTTTAAGGTACTGTTTGAGGTGTCTACATGAGTGTGAGTGTGCACACCACACCTAAAATACAGAGAGATGCCTCTTCCACAAACTTCAGTTTATCAAACTGAAAGTTCTTCTCAACTAATCTGAGAACCAACTTGTAAGAAAAAAAGAATTTCTATTTAGTGTTGGTGGCCAACTGGAATATTCTTAACACTAAAACTCAATTTTACAAAACTACTGTTTTAAATTCTTCCTCTTAGACTCATTGTTTTATGTTTAATTTCTGATCCAAGAGAATTTTCAGCTTCATTTAGCATTTTTATCTCCTCCACCCCCAGCTGTAAAGAAAAAAAAACAAAAAAAACCAAATTGGAATTGTAAGCAGTTGAGGCAGGAATCCAAGAGGTCTTTTCCTGCGATTCCAGCCCTTTCTGGAGGGTTCTGCCCTTTCCCCTTCAGGCATCTGTTCTGTCTTCTGTGAACCTGCTGCCCACACGGGAACGCTGTTTCTCATACTCTGGGCTCTGGAGGCTTTCACGTCCATCCGGCTGTGTCCATCCTGGGCACATTTGCCTTAAACATCACTTAAAGGGTTGCCAAACAAGTCAGTAATCAAGACAAATAATACCTTAATGCAATTTTAAAGTCAAAACTAATGCAAAAACATCCACTACGAATAAGATATTAAAATCTTAACTCAAGATGAGGTTATTGCCTCTATTCTATTTACACTTCCAAAGTCACTAACTCTGATGAATTGCCAATATCTAAAAACACATCATTCTGTATTCCATTTCTATGTTATATGTAAATTTCAATCTTATGTGCTTAAGTTATTCCTTTTATTTCCAGTATTTTATTCGTGTGTTTGGGGTATGATGGTGGGAGGGTCCTTTTTACACTTTTTATCTTTTGCTACTAGCTGTATGACATTCAGCAAGTTACATAGTCTTTCTTTTTCTCGATTTCTTCTTCCATAAAATGAGAATGAGTATCTGCCACACAAGGCTATTAGAAGGCTCGGTGAATTGGCACCTGTTAAGAACTGAGAGCGACACCTTGCAAAAGTGACTATTGTATGTGTTGACCTTTATTATTGCTGTTTTTGTTGTTGTTGCTGCTGCTGTTGTCTTTCCTGTTCTATTACAAGTCAGATTCCTTTGTGTCTCACCCGTGGTGTCTGCGGTGAGGACCAAAAGACTCTCCCACATGGTTGCCATATTTCTCAGCATTCATTCCCCTTCCACGCTTGGAATCGTTTAGCTTTCCATTCCTGCAGCAGCTGTACTGGAAGCTGCGTGTTGTCTGCTTTGATGAACATAGCCTGGGATGCTGTGGGCGCGAAGGCAGAAGGAAGCAGCTCCCGCCAGCAGGAGGGCCCTGCTCCACTCTTAAGCCTCCGAACCACAGCACTTTTAAGGAATCCACTCAGCTGTGTAAATTGAAGGATTCCAGAAAGCATCCTCCAGGGTGACGCTGACCTAAAATTCTACCACTTATCTTAGGCTAAGCATTACATTTTGTATTCAACCCTCTTTTCAAACGCCAAAACCTTTACTTTTTTCACCTTGGCATAAAATAATTTAACAGGTACCTCGCAGATGGGGGAGTAGTTGGGATGAGATACCCAGGATTTCAAGAGAGTAATTACCCAACTCTTCAATGAATACTTATTACACATCCGGTAAGCGTTCAGCTTGTACAGGGATCTGAAGATACGAGGAAATGAGCAACGCGGTTCTTTCCCTCAAAAGTTAATGGGTAAAGAGATACATGGGAGAAATGACAAAGTGTACTTGGGCTGAATTGGGCACTTCACTTCTCTGTGCTGTGGTTTCTGTACTCTGAGGACTTAGTGTAGAGAAATGCATAAAGACATTGATTCATTCCAGGTACTGGCACGTTACAAATCCTCGGGAAGTGTAAGCTGTTGTTCTTATCAACCATAGTAGTAGCAAGATCTTAAAAGATCAGTGAGCCGGGAAGCTCTCACAGCAAAAAGGGTGGGTGAGTGGGCATTGAGGAATGAGTAGGAGTTTGCCAGGCAAACAGGAGATGGGAGAGAAGAAGAGGATTCAGGCATAGAAAACAGCAATAGCAGAAGCAGAGACATGGGTAGAATAGGGCAGATGGGAGCCGCAGAGAGAGTGAGCCCAGTTTCACAGTAGGATTTACCCCACATGGACCCTCTGGTGACCACAGGGCCCCAGGACAGGCACTGCAGGACGGCTGGTGAGCAGCTCCATTTGTGGGGTTTTGGAAGCATCGCACATAAACCTACAGAGCCTTCTTTTCTTTCTCCTTTTCTTTTTTCCCCACCAGGGGCACATTTCTCTGTTTATATTTTCTCTCATTCTAAAACCATGTTGACAGATATGATTATTTACGAGTTCGTTAATAAACATTTACGGCAATTGATATGGAAAACAAAGTATGTGATCCATGATGAATCAGAAAAAACATCCTCACAATATATGTAACAGAGTGATATATAAATATAATGGACATCTTTACTTTTATAAATGAATGTGAAAATATTACAAAGTAACAATTATACATATATATTTCACAGGAAGAGAGTGCAAATGCCCAATACCTACAGGAAAATAAGGTAACTCATTGTAATTTATTTTCTCTCCTCTTCTGATGTTTCTCCTCACCTCTTTTTTTCTTGTGAGAGCTAGAGGATAATTCAGAATAAAGTCCCTGCTCTTCTGTGCTATGCTAGACTACAAGTATTTCAAAGGTTGAGGCTATGATTTCTCACAGTAACACCCACTGCATCTAGGGCAATGTCTCAAGTGGCGTAAACACTGAAACCTTTCACTTGTGTAACACATTTTTGTTGCTCACTTATATGAGTCAGCTGCTGTTCTAGTTCTTTGAGATACGTTGTTAAACAAAGGAGTCAAAAATGCCTGTCTTCCCATAGCATAGATTTCATCAGGTAGAATGAGGAAATGGTGGAAATGGACACAGAAGATATACGAGTAAGCCACACAGAATAGAGCAGGAGAGAAATTCTATTTATGTCCAACAGCAACTATTTTGTAAAATAATATTTCAAAGGCTTGGTGTAGCAGGGAGGTAAGAAGTTTAATCAGAAATGCTGTGACCGGATCTGAAGGTTAAAGCCAACATGTATTGATGATGTGAATTTGCTCACCTTAAAAGACATTTCTTAAAATAAAATGATTCTAAAATTCTAAATTTGGAGGAGGCTGGGAGGGTTCAATGAGCATCATAATTTATACTTCTGGGAAAGAGGATGTAGAAGTGAGAGAAGATACAGACCCAGAGAGGAGGGTTTCACTCCCAGTCTCAGAGGCAGCCTTGCAGCCTCATGTTTCTCATGCATTTGGAGGCATGGCCTTTATAAATCCCACTCATCCAGGGTGACTTCCGCCCCCATGAAAGTGGGAAAACATGGACAAACTACTGTTCTATCAGAAGCCCTCACAAAACACCCAACACTTTTTTTTTTACTCAAAGACATGTTAAATGTTTAATTAATTAATTCACTAATGAAGCCCGTAAGCTGTGCCAGGCATTGCTGGAACTGATGGGGGTTCATCCTTGAGTAACATGACAGCAACCAGTCTCCCTGGAGCTGATATTCCAAAAGGAACTTTTCCTAAGTCAAGGTTACATCTGAGCAAACTCAACATCTGATGATTCCTTTCCCAATGGCCCAACCTTCTGCCAGCTGATTATACTGAGAATCAACAGGTTTTGGGTTTTTCCCACTCCATCCCCTGCCTCTCACCCATTCTCCATGACTGATGTCCTGATCTTGTCCTGGGAGGCTGACCCTAAAGGATGGTACTAACCAGCTCCCTGGCTGGCTGCCTTCCTGTGGGGTTGGCCAATGAAAGTCACTGGCTGGAGACAGGAGGACGGAGAAGAGGGAGGATGTGGTATTTTCTCTTTGCTCTTGGAGCATTAGCGCACGGGCAGCCCCTGTGTCCATCCAGGGTGTTAGTGGCCACCGCTGGTCGGCTGCTTCTCCGTAGCTCCATGTCCCACTGAGTGCTGGCAGCTCCATTTCCTTCCTTGCTCTCTCCAGCCTTCCTGCTATTGCTGGGCTCAAGCGGCCCCAGCACCCCTTCAGAGACCCTTAGCTCTGCCCCAAAATCTGTAAATAGTCTTTCCATCAGTGTCTCTCCTCTGAAAGGTAAGAGTGCAATTCTGCTGCCTGCTAGGCCTCCGCCTGATAATCCAGCTTTGCACCAAGAAAGGGAATCTTGGTGAGAAGCAAGGAGATGAATGCATGCTCTAAGCATTAAAATCTCAGGCAAGGCCATGCTGATGTACAGCTCTTGTGGACAAGTGAACACAGAAACGAGAGTGTGTATGCGGAATCCATCACAGAGCATCCACAGCCTGTGGTGACAAGTTCCCCCGCAGGAGAGCAAGCTGGGGATCACAGGAGTGTGTGTGTGTGGAAGGCACTGTGTCTTTTTCGCACATCCAAGAAGGCTCTTCTGAGAAATGGGCTTTTAGGAATTACTTGAGTCAATAAAGTTTTGGGCCCAAAGACCTAGTATCCCCCCGAAAGTGTGAAGGTCCAGAGATAAGAAAGAGTGATGATATCTAGTCAAAGCTAAAGCTGAGCCAGTTCCCCAGAGTGAAGAGGAATGAGAACCTATAGAACTAAGACCCTGGAGGGAAGGTGAAGATTTATGTCATTGTGGGGATGGATGTGAGCTGTTGAGTACTTGGGGCTTTATGGGGAGTCTAATGAAATGCCATCAAAAGACCAGCTGAGGGGGCATCACACTCACATTTGTGGTGTTGTGGATGAGGCTATTGTCTGACTGAGAGGGGCTGGAGGGGGAGTTGAGGAATTAGTGCAGTCCCGAGGCCATGGGGGCAAGATCTTGAACGAGTCCATCACAGGCCTCCATGTGAAGAACTAGATTTGAGAGACAAGTAAAACAGGATTGAGTTCAGCACCCAAAGGTTGCTTGTAGAACAAGAGATAAAGTCACCCTGAGCAGAACCCAGAGCGTCTTGTTGGGGAGGTTCTTGATCACTTTAACAGGACACTTAGGATCAAGCCACATCCCAGAAGGCAGGAGATGACCGCTGCCTCCAGCCTGTTGGGGCTCAGCTCTGCGCTGAGGCTTTTCAGAAAGGCCTGTGGGTAAATCGTTAGAAAGAATGGGCCACAGAGACAGGCACATGCACTTGCCTGTATGTATCCTTTGTGTTTGATGTTGTTCTTTGAAGTCTTCTAGAACTTGCTATAATTGACCAAGTCTTATGATTGAAAGAGTGAGGCTTTGAGGCGTCTCAGACCTAAGGTCAAGGGCAGCTCTGCCCTCATTGGCCATGTGACTCTGGGAAAGTGACATGGCCTTCGTTTACTAGTCTATGAGGTGGGGATAATAACAGTAAGAGCACAGCACTGTGGTAAAAACGGATGGCTTCAGGTGAACCTGCTGACTCACAGCGGGTTCCCTGCGACTTCAGTTCTCACTCAGAAGACATAATCCAAACTGTCTAGTGCTTAATGGGTATGTTTTCTCTCCCTGTCTGCTTCAACCCCCTGGACTTGCCCCTGAACCTCCTCCACCCCCCAAAAACTGTAAATACCTTGAGTTTGGGGGGACACCTTATAAATAAGTATTCCTGCATGAACTGTCCATTGCCACAGGCTCTTAGTAAAGACTTGTTGGATTGCATCGGATTGCTATCCACACTCAGCAGCCTGACCCTCAGCAAAGCTCAAGGATTCAAGGTGATGGGCAAAGCAGGCAGTTTTGAGTCCTACTGGGAAGCTGGAGTGGGCTGGGAATGCCGGAACCTCACTCGGCATGTTCCAAAGCAGAAGCTCTTGGTCTTGACTGAGTCTTAGAATTAGCTGGGGTGGGGTAGGGGAGGTTTAAACATCTCTGATGCCCAGGCCTCACTCCAGATCCATCACATCAGACTCTCTGGGGGCAGGACCCAGGCATAAGCATTTCACAGCTCCCTGGTTGCTTTCTATGTGGAATCAGGGTTGAGAAACTCTGTTCTAGTCCACAGTATCACCAGCAGACATGGGGAATTACAGCCATGTCATAAGTAACCCTTGGACTGCACTGCCTCTGATAAGATCCACAAGGTCATTGCCTTTCTACAAGTCATTGATGATGGGAATCCCTGATCATTTTCAAGATCTCAGTCATGAATATTGTGGATTGAAAAAGAAATATGTAGAAACAGGAACAAAATACTTTCATTATTTCTTATCCTTTGGCATACATTGAATTAGAAAACAAACCATCTAAATACTCTCACTTCAAGTTTAAATTTTTGTGAACTCTGGAAAAATAGTTTATTTATTAATTCATTTATACACTCACTCGTTCAGCTACGCTCTTCAGCAAATTGTATGTGGATTTTCCACTAGAACATAAGACAAGAGGGCATTGCCTGGTGTTCATTCACCATGTCTCCTTCACCCGTAACAATGCCGGGGACACCTCGAGTGCTTGTATTATTCTATGCAGGCTGCCATAACAAATACTACACACTGGGCAGCTGAAACCCAGAAATCTATTTTCTCACAGCTCTGGAGGCTGGAAGTCGAGATCAAAGCATGGGCAGGGTCGGTTTCTCCCAAGGCCTCTCTCATGACTTGTAGATGTGATCTTTCATCGTGTCCTCACAGGGTCATTCCTCTGTGTGTCTCTGCGTATCCAAATGTCCTCTTCTTCTAAGGACACCAGTCACATCGGATTAGGGTTCATCCTAAAATAACCATTTTAACTTAGCCACCTTTTAAAATGTCCTGTCTGAAAATACAGTCACATTCTGAGGTTGTGGGGATCAGGGCTTCAGCGTATGAATTTATGGGGGAGGGCAAAATTGTGTTTATAACACTGCTCGATGCATACAAACTAAAATGAATAGATGAAAATATTTGTAACAATGGAATTGGAGAAAAATGTGAAAATTCATTTGGGGTGCTTGTTAGATCTCCAAAAGAGTAGGTTTGGGGTAGAAATGCTGGAAATTCAGTGGTGGTCTGGGGTGAGCTGCCTTGATACTTGATCTGTCTTCCTTGGAAGGCATGCATCAGCCCATACCTTAGAATTTGACAGGAGACAATATCAAGGAAAACTTTCTCATCTCACAAAGATGGGAAAGAGGAAAAGTGATCTGCCATCTCCCTGTGTGTAGAGGAGGGCAGTGGTGCACGGAATAGGAGAGCCAGCGGATGCAGCCACTTGCCCTGCAAAGTTTGCATGGGCAACTGGCGTGGGCAGCGATGCTGCTGTGACAGAGGCCGAGGTGCCACCGGTGGTTCTGAGACGTGTGGAGAACATTTCACTCTTGGGAGCTGCTTCTTAGTCACCGCAAAACATCCATCAGAAACGAATCTGCCCATGTCCTGCCCGTGTGCTTCTGCAACATGTTGTAACCTGACACCGTTTTTGCATAAAGTTTGTAATTGGACCATTGCACCAAAGAAACCTGAAAAGCCTGCCGTGAATCATCAGGCACGGGAAGAAAGAGAGTGATGTCACGGAAATCTCATTAAAGTGTCCCCGTGCACATTGGAGATTCTTCGTTTTGTGCCACAGTCAGGAGAGGGGAGAAAACCTTTCCTAGGTGATGCTCCCTTGAAGGCTAAGTCTGAGTGTTTTAGGTATTTCCTTTTAAAGAAATCATGCACTATGACAAATGAAAGTGTGTAAGATTGCATTGTTACTTTCCTGTGCATGGCTGGACACACACTGGCGTCAGTCCTTGCCTGGGAAACAGTGGCATTCTGTACTTTATTGGAGTGCATTCTTGGGAAGCATTTGTTTGAGATCCTCTAGGGTCATCTAAGGGGCTCCCATGGCAAAGTGGCTGAAGATAAAAGTCAAGGTGAATCTAGCAGCTCAAAGTTTTCATGGGTCATTTATGATGGGTGTTAGGTCATCATCCTTGCCTATAAGATTGGAAATTAGGAGGCAGACTGACGTTTAAGCAAACAATTAGTAGTGTAAGTAAAGTTAATATGAAGAATAAGTCAGCTGGGCATGGTGGCTCACACCTATAATCCCAGCACTTTGGGAGGCCAAGGCAGGAGGATCAATGGAGCACAGGAGTTCCAGACCAGCCCAGGCATCATAGTGAGACCTAGGTTAAGACCTTGTCTCTATTAAATTTGAAAAGATTAGGCAGGGGTGGTGGTGCCTGCCTGTGGTCCCAGCTACTCAGGAGGCTGAGGTGGAGGGTTGCTCGAGCCCAGAAGGTCGAGGAGCAGTGAGCCATGATCATGTCACTGTGCTCCAGCCTGGGTGACAGAGCAAGACCCTCTCTCAAAAAAAAAGCCAATTTGAATGTTCTGTGTATGTATGTCTACATGCCCATGTGGTATGTGTACACATGTGTATGTGGATGCCTGTATGGTACATGTACCTGTGCCTGTGTTTGCATATGTGCACATGCATGTGCACGTGTAAATCTTTATGTGTATGTAGGTTTGTGTGCAAGAAAGTACATGTCTATATGTGTGTTAACATGTGCATGTATGTGTGCACATGCCTATGTGTACACACGTACAATGTGTGCATGCATGTACGCACCTATATAAGCATGTGTGTGCCTGTCTGTATGTGTACATCTCTGTGTACACATACATGTGTGTATAGGCATGTATGCATGTGTGTGGCTGCCTGTACGTGTACGTCTGCATGTGTCCACATATGTGTGTATAGGCATGTATACATGTGCATGTGGTTTGGAACAGGGAGCTACAGCATGACAGGCATGGCATTGTTCAGAGAAGAGAAGTGAGAGAAAGCTCCTGAACTCCTCCTCAGGAAGGCATCAGGAAGCGCGGCCTCTGCCTATCGGGATCTCACCACAGGGCTCTCCTCCCGACCCACTCCGCTGTGAGTAGAAGGGGGACATTGTCCCCACCAAGCCCCTGCATCCAGTTCTTTCCCAGCTGCTTGCCTTTTTCTCTGCAGGCTCCTGTAGGATGTACAGAGCCTCTTCAAGGGTAGTCCCTGTGACTTCCACCATGGGGTTGAGAGTGCAGACTGAGTTTTATGGAAATATCTCACGTGGTTCCACTTTCTCTGTTGGGGCCACTGAGCAATGCATTCCTTCTGGGCCCGTGTGGCCTTATTTTTCTGTTTTTTTCTTCACGCCCTATTGTTGAAGGTTCTATGGTTTCATATGCTTTATCCCGATAGCATGTTGCCCCCTCATAGCAGCTGGTTATTTGGCCCTGATGAGGTGGAGCTGGGGTTCCCGTTCCGGCTCCAGCCCTGGGCTGTTTGAAATTCACCCCGCCCTGGCTCTTGATTTCCTCTCCCTCTGGTTTCTAGTAAGGGGAGCGCCAGTCCAGTCTGAGCTCCACTGTCACTGCCGTCACCTTCTGATGGAAACCTGCTAGTTGTAAAGTCACCTCCCTCCATGCTCCATGGGAATGCTTGACGACTCCAGATATCCTATAATTAACTGCAGGGCTTGACGGGGGACAGAGAAACTCCACCGCATGTTTATTTTTACAAAGAGGCAGCCGCACAGAGGTTGCTGAGCACACATTTATGCTGAAACACTCGCCTAGGCAGCCCTCTTCATGGCCTGTAGGATGACAGTGAGGGCACTGTTGTGTTCAGCAATTGCCACAGGAAATGACTTTATGCAAATAATCCCAGGGGAGATGCTGTAGGCTCTGAGAAAGCCGTAATTACAGCTTCCACCCGGGCATTTTCAGTGATCAAGTCTCTGGAATGTAATCTTTCCAGGCCTTCTGGAACTGGGAGTGATAAACAATCATTTGGGATAATTGCCCGAGAGCAGCCTCCACTCTCCCAGAGGCCGTGGGGCAGAAATTCCAAGTCCCTGCCTCTGAGAAGGGGGTCCTTTGGCCACCTCCCTCCGCGGTCCTGGCCAACATGTCTGCATCTCTGAAATGGAGCTTTCCTCTCTCCTGGGCTGTTCGGAAACCGCCTTCTGGGATAGACATCTCCAAGGAAGAGCTGTGTCTACTTTGTTTCTTCCCCGCCTCTCACACCCGGTTCAATGTGATACCACAAATATGGCGAGCTGTTTGAAATAATTTGCAGAACCCAACACTGAAGACAAGCTCCAACCTTCCAGGGTATATTTTGAGTATTTTAGCACGAGTGTCAAGATTTTATGCGTTACAGTATGCTCATGATATCTTCCCTGCGGTTTATTTTGGGCGAGATAAAATCTGTAGCAATTAGTTTCTCACAAGTCTATTTTATGCAGAAGAATCTGTTATTTCCTAGGCGTGTGATTTCTTTGGTTTTACCTTTACCATGAGTGTCTTCCTTCCCAGATCTCTGCTCCCCCTTGGGGTTGGCAGTTGTCCTTCGCTTCTGCCTTCTGGGCTGTGCTCCGTCCCTTAAATGCTGTTTGGGAAGACGTCAAGTGCAAATGAGGAAGCTGCTGTAGGTTAGTGAGCCATACCCAGGACCGAAATAGAAAAGTGCTGGTACCAACAGGAAATGAGAGAGTGTGTGTGCAAAGATGAGGCTATGGTTGGGATTTTGTATTTTAATCTTGTCTGAAACGTGTGTATTTCTGTCATGGGAACCAGCAAAGGACGTAGAAACAGGTAGCGTAAGACCCCTTAAGATAAAGGGAAGGAGTCCATTGTTTGCATAGAGCAGGTGTCTATGGGCGGTCCACTTTCTCTCTTTGCGTTTCTTCGAATTCTTCATTTGTACTCCATTCAACCACTTGTAAACCCTTGGTCAAACTGTTAATTGAGACGTAAATTCCATTGTAGGTATCCCTGCGATCGAAGGAAATAAAAATTCTGTCTCTCTGGAATTAGGAAGAGCATGCAGAACGTTGAAAGGGTTTAAGATGGACTAAGGTGTGTGTGAAAATGCCTCTTTTCAAAAAACCAGAAAAGAGAGCCTGCACTAATTACATGATTGTGCTTTCTTTTTAAAAAAGTTTCCAATTTTACTTAAATGGGAGAGAAACCACAGCGGATGAGGCACTCCAGGCCTTTTTCTTTTTTTCAGCAGTGGAGCAGCAGAAATCATGGATCACAAGTGTCTCTGTAATCAGGCTGCACCGAGACATTTCTCGGCATTTCTGATGTTTCAACCCTACCCCACCTGCCAGGAGGAGGCTCCAGCCCGCCAGGAGGGCAGGAGGCCATTGCTGCTGCCACTCCAGAACCTCATAAGGGTTTATTGTCTGCCCACAGTGTATTTGTCAAGGTGGGCACCTTGCGTCGTGGGGCACTCTGTTTTTTTTTCTCTCTCTTTCTTTATATATATGCATACACAGACACACACACACAAACACACACACACACACGGTCATTGCAGTTTACAAAGAAAAGAAAAGAAAAAAAAGAAGAAAAGAAAAGAAAAAAGGCAAACCAATTCCCCTCTGTCTGGGACCCAGATCAGAGCCAGCCTGCCATGACCAGTCTGGAAGAAGGTGGCAGAGAGGTGGGGCAGCTTCCCGAGGCCTGGGAGGTGCGTCTCCATGGCAACTGCGGGGCTTTCCCAGATGATGTCACACATCACACAGGATTCCTGAGATCCACCTGGAGATTGGCTGGTGAAGGATCACTGCCTTTTATCTTGTTCCAACTCTTTATTTGCGCTATAGACAGGCACTGTTTCTTACTTTAGCTCCGAGAGCAGTTTCTTCTTGATACCTAAACTGCTGGGCTGACCCCTTGTATCCTAGATTCTTTACAAGGGGGAAAAATATGTTTTTTAAACAAACGTGTTACCAGGGTGAAGTCTGAGGAGCTGGAAGGGAGGGAGACAGGGGCTTTGCTGTCCTGAAGTGATGCCTTTGCTGTGGCGTGACAGCTCAGACTGGAGCCGGGCCCCAGGGAAGGGACTAAGTAGGTGTCTGTTGCTTTTCCAGCTCTCCTACTAGCCGATCAGCTCTTCTCCCAGGTGGACCTCCTGATCCTCCGGAACCTCCTGGGTCCTGTCCCAGCAGCTGCAATTTGCAGAAGAGGAGATTGGTCAGGAGGGAGATGCCGTGGCCTCACTAGCAGCTGCAGGCTCTTTGCCTGTTTGTGGTGTAAATGTTTGAGTCTCCCCCTAATTCACATGCTGAAATTCTCACCCCCAAGGTGATGGTGTTAGGAGGTGGGGGCTTTAGGATATGATGAACTCATAAAGGTGGACCCCCCATGAATGGGATTCGAGCCCTTTTGAAAGAGATCCTGGAGAGCTCCCTCACTCCTTCCTCACTCCTTCCACCATGTGAGGACACAGTGAGAAGCCGCCATCTATGACCCAGGAAGCAGATACTCACCAGATACCAGATCTGCCAGAACCTTGATCTGGGACTTCTGACCTTTAACACTGTGAGAAGTGACTGTGCTGTTTGAAAGTCACAGTCTATGGTGACAGAACGCCACAGGGGACTCAGATATGGCCCCCATGCTTGCTACAGGAAGCCTGCGGTGGAGCCCTCTTCCCTCCTTGAAGTCTGGATATGACTGAAAAACTGTGGGTTCAAGTGTAAACAGGCTTGTTCTGTGAAGATGGACCTTTATTCTGGTAGATTTCAGCGTGTCTTGCTTGTATTCTCAATTGTGACTTAAGATGGGTGTCGCTGGCCCAGGGTGAGACAACGGGAACTGGCATGGATGCGGCTGGAGGGTACGCACCCTTCTTAAGTGGTAACAGGTGATGTTCATGGAGTGTACATTCTGAGCCAAGCATTATTTTTTTTAATTAATTCTCTTTATAAGTCTATGAGAAAAGTGTTCTTATTAGCCCCATTTTAAAGATGCAGAGACGGAGACACCGGGAAGTTGCATGATCTGAGTGCCTTATGGCTGGTGCTGCAAGAGCTAGGAGAGGAGCCAGGAGGTCCCCGTCCAGTGCCTGCACCTACTGCCAAGCTGTCCTCCCTGCCAGGTCACCACCTGAGAGCAGAAGCTGAGAGAAACTTGCTCTCTGCCCTGGTGGAGGCTGCAGGCCCTAGGAGGGAGGTTGACTCCTTGCCCCACCAGCTCCATGATTCTGTTTTGTACGGGCCCCACATAGCACGTCCATCTGCCCTGGGCTGCGAGAAGAGGCACCAGAACTTTGCAGTCAATCAGTTCCAATAGCTGACTAAGACTGAATTGTGTTCATGACCAGCACTACTTGAAGCAATATAGAAGATGTACTTTGAGTCAATCAGGGAACTCTGCAGGCAACACTCATGTAGAAAAACAGAAAAAAAAATCAAGGTAGAAGAATACAAAGCAACTAAAACGGCACTCATGCAGAAGCCAATGCCAGGCATTCTCCATTGCTGATAGATTTAAGTTGCTGGCACGAGGCTAGAAGAAAAGGCAAAATGAAGCATTTAAATAATTCAATTTTTCACAAAAGTACAGGTTAATTCCACATCTTGGCGATTGTGATCAGTGCTGCATAAATATGGGGTGCAGGTGTCTCTTTGGCACACTGATTTCCTTTCCTTGGGGTGCATACTCAGAAGTGGGATTGCTGGATCAGAGTTCTACTTTTAGTTTCTTGAGGAACCTCCATACTGTTTTTCACAGTGGCTGTTCTAGCTTACATTTCTATCAACAGTGTACAAGAGTTTTCTTTTCTTGGCATCTTTGCCAGCATTGATTTTTTCGTCCTTTTGATAATAGCTGTTTTAACTGGGGTGAGATGGTATCTCATTGTGCTTTTGATTTGTATTTGATGATTAGTGATGTTGAACATTTTAAATATATTCGTATTTGCCATGTGTATGTCTCCTTTTGAGAAATACTTATTTTATCATAGCACTATTCACAATAGCCAAGACGTGGAATCAACCTAAGTGTCCATCAACAGATGAATGGATAAAGAAAATGTGGTGCATATACGCAGTGGAATACTATTCAGCCATAAAAGGAAGGGAATCTTGTCATTTGCGGTAGTGAGGATGGAACTGAAGGACCTATGCTAAGTGAAATAAGCCAGGCTCAGAAAGACGGGTCATGCATGTTCTCACTCATATGTAGACTCTAAAGAAGTTGACCTCATGAAGGCAGAGCATAGATGATGGTAACTGAAGGCTGGGAAGGGTGGAGAGATAAGGAGAGGTTGGTTAATGGGTACATACAGTTAGATGAAGAAATAGGTTCTAGTGTTTGATGATACAATAGGATGACTATAGTTAGCAATAATTTATTGTATATTTCAAAATAGCTAGAAGAGATTTGAAATTGATATGGTTTGGCTGTGTCCCACCCAAATCTCATCTGGAATTATAGCTTCCATAATTCCAATGTGTTGTGGGAGGGACCCAGTGGGAGATAATTGAATCATGGGAGTGGTTTCCCCCATACTGTTCTTGTGGTAGTGAACAAGTCTCGTGAGATCTGATGGCTTTATAAGGGGAAACCCTTTTCACTTGGTTTTCAATTCTCTCTTGTCTGCCACCATGTAAGACATGCCTTTCACTTTCCACCATGATTGTGAGGCCTCCTCAACCATGTGGAACTGTGAGTCCATTAAACCTCTTTCTCTTTATAAATTACCTAGTCTCAGGTATGTCTTTATCAGCAGCATGAAAACAGACTAATACAGAAGTTCTCTCAACACAAAGAAATGACAAATGTTTGCAGTGATGGATATCCTAATTACCCTCGTTTACCATTACACATTGTATGTGTGTATCGAAATATCACAGGTTCCCCATAAATATGTACCATTGTTTTGTATCAGTAAAGTGGAAGAAAACATTGAAAAATAATGACAAAAAGTGACAAATGTTTGCAGTGATGGATGTCCTAATTACTCTATTTGACCATTACACATTGTACGTATGTATCGAAATATCATAGGTTCCCCATAAATAGGTACCATTATTATGTATCAATAAAAAGGAAGAAAACATTGAAAAATACAGATTAAATTTTTGAATGAAACTTTATTTTCTGTTGTTTTTACCTCCCCCAATCCCCACGACCAGCTCTGAAGTATTCAGACAAAATTCCCTCTTGAGTATTATTAATAAGGAAGATACTGGGTGATGAGCAGATGACAAACCTCCTCTGATTGCCCGTCCTGGGAAACCTTTCTGCGGCATGTCGAAATGCACCCCTCCATGTAAGTCAAGAGCCCAACACTAATGACAAGGCAGTACAAGCTCCTCCATCTGGGGTCAGGCAGATAAAGTCCGAGTTCACAGTTTGTTTCTTTTATGCAGTGAAGAACAGAAGAATGAAATGCATATCATTTGTACAATTCCCCAGCAGTATTATTTCTCAGAATCAGGCCTTGAGATACATTGAAAGAACAAAAACTGTAAAGTTATGGTCTCAGTAATGTTGTATAAGTGTATCAGCTGGCCGTGACTGACATCCCTGCATGAAATGTATGGATCCTTCCAAGACTCCGATATAAATGGGAACCACCTCTCGCTTTTATGTGGAGGTGGGTGCTAGAATGCTGCAGGCAGCACCACTAAGGCCAAGAGACTCTGTCTTGGAAGCTAATCTCCCATGTTGGCTTTGATGAACCCCAGTTCCAGGAAGGCCTCCAAGATTTTCAGTTTATCGATTGTTCCTTGTGTTAGAGCAGGCACTTAGCATAAATCCTGCCTGTAGGTCAAACAACTGTGATGTTGTCATACTTCAGTTGTCCTGCATGTCTCTTCTGAACCACCCTTTCCCTGGTACATGAGCTCCAGGTCTGGGGCTAATGGCGGGGATCCATTCTCTTGTCTAGTCCCCTAAGACACAGACGTGGCTTCTGTTTGTAAGACACTGTTAAATGTTTCTTTTTAAGAGACTGGATTTGCCAGCCTCTTTCTTTGGCCTCTCAGCCTCCTTGGACTTTGGGGACAGGTTTGCATAGACTTGCCCACTGTGAAACAGAAGGTAGGTGTTGATCACTATAACCCTCATGCAAATAATTGCAAATAATTGGCTCGTTTAAGCCCCAAGTTCTACGTTATTGGCCGTAAAAATTGAATGGTGAAGTTTAACCAGTTGGTTATGAATGTAGTTTTTTATTTCAAGGCAATTTACCTATTTAAGCCTCAAATGCTTCATCAATTAATTGAGAATGGTATTAGTGCCTATATATTTGAAGGTGTTGTAAGATCCAAATGAGATAGTATATGTAAAGAAATTAGTACTGTGATAAATCAGGTATCGTATAGATACGTGATACTGTAGATAAATCATATAGTTTATGATCCATAAATACTGTTATAGGAGTATGGCTGTGATGATTTAATCTGGAACATCTTAAAACTGCCCATAGCATTTGCTCATGGAGGCATTAACATATATCAAAATAATCTCCATCATGATCAACTTTTAAGCAGTGTAGTTTTCCAGTGAACCCTTGATGAAGATAAATAAGTTACCAGATATACCCCTAATTAAGCAAATGAATTTATTTGCTCCACAGTGTTATTAGATATAGACAACTTTAACACTGGTTTTAGATCATAAAGTATTTTCTCCTGGCGACTGCAGAAAGAAGAGCTTTATGTCTCTATTCTGAATTGAGGAGGTATGGTTGGCAAGGGGTTGGGGAAGGCTTTCGTTTATTCGGAAGTCTTTTTGAATCCAGGCAAAGGTTAAATGTTTCATATACACCATAGAATAATATGCAGCCATAAAGAAAAAAAAAACAACATCATGTCCTTTGCAGTGACGTGTGTGGAGCTGGAGGCCATCATCCTAAGCAAACTAACACAGGAACAGAAAATCGAATACCACATGCTTTCAATTATAAGTGGGAGCTGGACGTTGAGTACACAGAGACTCAGGGAAGGAAACAACAGACATCAGAATCCACTTGAGAGTGGAGGTGGGAGGAAGGAGAGTAGAGAAAACTACTGATTGGATACTGATTACCTGGGTGATGAAATAATCCATATGCCAAACCACTCTGACATGCAATTTACCTATATGACCAATGTGCACATGTACCCTTGAACCTAAAATACAAGTTAAAAAAAAAGACACATATTAAAAATCAAAGGGCCAGAAAACAGTTTTCTTTCCATGACCCCAAATCTGTCTGGACAGTGTTCCTCCTGCCCTAACTTTCCCTCTGAATATATGTGTATGTGTATATATGTGTATGTATATACATATATATATGTGTGTGTGTATATATACATATATGTGTGTATAAATATATACGCAAGTTCTTTATAAACTTAAGTCTGTAGCTTGTGTTGAGTTCAGACAGCTAGTCCAGCTCTGCCAATTCACAGATGTTCCATGGAAGCAGATGATGGCTTAGGATATGGACACACTGAGTGTGGCTCTAATAAAGTTGTTTGTTTTATAATTTATACCTCGCTTTGTAAGGTAGTCTATCTTTAATAGAAATTTAAACATTCTGCTATGTTGAGACACATAAAATTATTTATAATAATTCTTTTGTTCCCCTCAAATGAAGCCATGATTTAAAGTTCAAACCTTGAAGTTGCCTGTACCTAGGTTAAAATCATGATTTGATACACTCCTAGCTGTAATATCCTAGAGGAGATACTCAACTTTCTGAAGCTTACTGTTTTTAACCTATAAAACGAGCATCACTGTACCTATCTGTTAGCTTTTGTTGTTCAGGTTGAATAAGATAATCTATGTACAAAGTATTTAGCGAGTTTCACCTAGGTTAAACACTCAGAGATTAGGAGTCTTCTTGTTATTATTTGGATCCCTGGTTTGTGGCTACAATTTAGTAGCCCGGGGAATATAGGCTGCAGCTGAACCACGGAGAAGCGGTTGTCTGATGCGCTCGTTCACTGTAAAATACTGCAACACCAAATGACTTTCACCAGTGACACTGGAACGGTACTGAAGCATTAGAGTAAGCTCTCAATAAGTAAGATCCATTTTATTACTATTATTATCATCACCATTGTTGCTATTCAGTCTAACCTGGAAATGGGTTGTGGGAAGTTTAATTTATTTTAAAAATGGAAATGAAAGTCAATACAGACATTAATTCTATAGCAAGAGGTTATATTATTTTAAATGGCTAAAAAGAGGTAGATTATCCTGGGAACAGAATTTGCCCAAGAAGCCAGTAATTGGTTGTTACCCAGGGTTATTGTCCAGGCAATACAGACACTTTGAGTAGCTCTGTGCATTCAACATTGTAACAGTGAGTGAGAATATTATCTAGAATGCGTGAGATGCCTGGAAATTGATGATGCTGGTGGAAAGCGGAGGGAAAGGCCACTCTGTGTGAGAAGCATCAGTGCGTTCAAATGAAAGAATCACTCCGTGATGTGTAGGCTAACCTTTATACATCTGCGATGACTGACTCACCTACTCACTAAAATGCCTATCTGCAAAATAACTTTTCAGTTGTAAATCTGAAACCATCCAACTGCCATTCCCAAACTTTTCCCACTGAATCAATAGTTTATAAAATAATCTCTAACAGTATAAGCTTTCTTGGAAACACAATTATCACATTACAGCCAAACATAGTGTATCTATGCTCTTTTCAAAACCAAACATTGTTTCTAGGAATGTAATGCAAATAAACTCTATATAAATACATTTTAAGTACTTTTTTTAAACTGATTTGTTTCTGAAAACTAGTTTCTGCACCAAAGCTCATGAACAGAGGTGTCTTCAGTGGGATTAAATACTGTCTCAAGGTTGGTTAGCGCTTTCAGATGAAGCATCTCATTTGCTGTCATAACAATGATACCTGCCTGACCTTATAAGAACAGGTATCATTATCTTCATTTTCATTTGGGTAAGTTGAAGTTTAGCAGACTTGAATGACTCATCTGAGGTTGTTCTCTCTCTCTCTCTGAGGCTGCCTCTCCACCTCTTTGACAATCCTCTCTCCAAACCTGTTTTTGTATATAAAGAGGACTAATCTTTCTGGTCTATCCTAATGTCCACTTTTGTACCCAGGAAGAGATTATTTCTTTGAACATTTCCATCACAGAACAAATAATTATATAAGGTTTTATTGTGAATTCTCTTAAAATAATGTAGCCCAAACTCAGAATTTTCAAGAACATAACTCATGTCCCAGAGCACAGATGATAACAAAATACGTGAACGTTTTTGTCTCGGTTCCTGTTAACACTGAAAACTCGGTCACATCGTATTTTCAAGGAGTCAAGGGCAGATTCCACGTGCCGTCTTCTGTATTGCAATCACCGAAGGTGTTTGGCGGGGAGCCCATGGCTCTGTGTCTTCCTAAGTTTTTGTGCTTTTTCCTGTCTGCTGTTCTATTAACCTTACTTAAGTAACGGCGTTGAGTGTGAGCTACCTCCTTTCTTGTTAGAAGTGCGTGAACGTCAGGCAAGCCTCACGCCGCCTGACTGGGGAATGCTTGCCCTCACTCGGCTTTTACGGGATGATTTCCATCACAGTGTTACATCACAGTGTATTCTAAGAAGCATTTAGCTTCAGGATGTATCAGAGTGTTTTCCAGTAAAAAGCACGTTTCAGGCCATGAGAAAGAGGCTGTGGATGAACCACACTTGGAATTCCGACTCCTGCGGTGCTCCCAGGTGGAGGAAGTGGCGAAGGGGGCACTGAATGTAGCCTTGGGACATTCCAAACGGGCGATCACCACAGAGAAAGTCATTTCTTCCTCTCTTTAGAAGCAGCTGTGTTTCCTCAAGAAAGTGACTTTATCTGGCTATTCCATGGGGGAAAGCGAGCTGTCTCAAAATTAGCCTTATATGCTGTGCGGTATTAAAGGAAAATTATACTTGGCTCACCAGTGAGTCATCGTACTGGTTTCGCTTTATTTTTATTTCTTTTCTACTTTAGGAACTGAAGCTTGAGGGCAACTGTAGGGGGAAGGTGGGGAGGATGGGAAAGATGCAGA